>NW_025791803.1:359027-538541 GCF_000001405.40 Homo sapiens
AATTTTGGCTTGTTGTCACTTATTTTTCATAATCAAAGAAAAATGATTTAATTTTAAAAAGATGCTCTCCTTTCTGTTTTCTTCTCTTGGATGATAGTATCCCTATCTGTCTGAGTTTATAGAATCTTAATTTTTACCTGCTCTTACCACATACATCTGATTAGTCATTAAGTCTTACTGATTCTGCTTCAGAAATTTTGTTTTATGCTTCACTCTCATGCTACCAACTTATTTGGTAGCTTCAGCAGTTGTCTAAGCTGGGGTTGGCAAATTTTTTCTGTAAAGGACCAAATAGTAAACATTTTAGGCTTTATAGCCCATATAAAGTTTTTTTTTAATTTTTTTTTTTTTTAAAAAAGAAAGAAATGTAAGAACCCACACCTGTAATTGCAGCACTTTGGGAAGCCGAGGCAGGGTGGATCACGAGGTCAGGAGTTCAAGATCAGCCTGGCCAACATGGTGAAAACCCGTCTCTACTAAAGATAAATTAGCTGGGCGTGGTGGTGTGTGGGTATGTGCCTGTAATCCCAGCTACTCAGGAGGCTGGGGCAGGAGAATCGCTTGAACCCGGGAGGCAGAGGTTGCAGTGAACCGGGATCGCGCCACTGCACTCCAGCCTGAGCGACAGAGTGAGACTCTGTCTCAAAAAAAAAAAAAAAAAAAAAAAAGTAAGAATCATACTTAGCCTGGAGGCCATACAAAAATAGGTCACAAGCAGGCTGTGGGAAGGATATTGTAAGTGGGCCATACTTTGCTGACCTCTGGTCTAGGCTATTACAACAATTTCCTAATTGGAGTATTTGTCACCGGTATTTTACCCCGGTGTAAGATTGCCTCCATCTTACACATTACTGCCAGAATCATCTCTCTGAAATGTGACCATTTCACTTCCAGGTAAAATCTTTATGTGCTCCTTTTAGCTAAGTTTTCTTGCTTAAGGTATTCATGTATTACTTCGGGGATTTTTTTTTTTTTTGCCATTTCTTCATAACCATCTATATTATTTATTCAGTATTTTTATAGACTTTTTTTTCTTAAAGGAAAGTTTATACTGTGAATGGAAAATCAATATTGATTGCCATAACTAGAAAACCAACAAAAGGCAACAGTAAAAGGAAATATAGAACTATGAAATGCCTGTTTCATGTAGCACCCAATCATATATGTACTACATTTCAAAAAGTCACTGGCTTATAAAAATATTTTTTAGCATCTCATACAAGTCTCTTCATAATCTGTTATACAGCTCACCTTACTTGCACGATTGCTGAGCCAAAGCAGATCGAAAGTCATTTTGGTAAGAGGCTAGATGCTGACCTTGTATTCTGAAAATCTGATGATTCTACTGTTGTTGATGTGATTCCAAGTAAGCCTGTGTGAACTTCTGGGCTATTCTCAGGGAAGTGTTTATGACACATTGTTGAAGGTATCATCAGGGCAGTTGATCCAAGAAGACTCTAGGAGCTGGCTAAGCCACAAAGTCTGCCCAAAAAGCTCAGAATGACAAATGAATGTTTTGTACATTATCTCCACTATAATGCTAGAAAAAAGTCTTAAAAGCATTTGTCTCAATTGATCATTTATATGGAATAATACTGGTTAATCATCTTAAATCATCATAGTGTTGGGTAATGTCTGTAGAAGGATGCTTTAAACTCTACTTGGTGCTTCAGCTATGCTGACCATCTCACCATTGCCCCCTTTGCCATGCCCTGACATCCTCACATGTCTCTCTGCTTTTGCATACTCTTTTCCACCTGGTTTGAATGCCCTTCCTTTATCATGGGACATTATCCTTTCCATTTAATACCCATCTTGATAACCTGACTCTGACCCCCTAGGCAAGTTTAAAAAAAAAAAATTCATTGAAATGAAATTCACCCTTTTTGAAGTGTACAATTGCCTGGGCACAGTGGCTCACACCTATAATCCCTGCACTTTGGGAGACTGAGGTTGGGAGAGTCACTTGAGTCCAGGAGTTCGAGACCAGCCTGGGCAACATAGTGATACCCTGCCTCTACAAAAAAAATTGCAAAAATTAGCTGGATGTGGTGGTTGATGCCTGTAGTCCCAACTACTCAGGAGGCTGAGGTGGGAGAATCACTTGAGCCCGGGAGGTTGATGCTGCAGCAAGCTGAGATCAAGCCACTGCACTCCAGCCTGGACAATGGAGAGAGACCCTGTCTGGAAAAAAAAAAAAAAATCTTTTTTTTAAGTATACAATTTTGGGCCGGGCGTGGTGGTTCACGCCTGTAATCCCAGCACTTTGGGAGGCCGAGGCAGGTGAATCCCGAGGTCAGGAGATCAAGACCATCCTGGCTAACACGGTGAAACCCCGTCTCTACTAAAAATACAAAAAATCAGCTGGGCGCGGTGGCAGGCACCTGTAGTCCCAGCTACTTGGGAGGCTGAGGCAGGAGAATGGCTTGAACCTGGGAGGCGGAGCTTGCAGTGAGCTGAGATAGCGCCACAGCACTCAAGCCCGGGTGACAGAGCGAGATTCCATCTCAAAAAAAAAAAAAAAAAAGTATACAATTTTGCATATTCAGAGTTGTGTACTCATTACCACTGTCTAATTTTAAACATTTTCATCACTCCAAAAAGAAACCTCATAGCCATCAACAGTCACTCTCCCCTTTCCTCCTGCCCCCCCTCAGCCCCTGGCAACCACTGATCTACTTTCTGTCTCTATGGATTTGCACAGTTTAGATGTTTCATATAAGTGGAATCATACAATATGTGCTCTTTTGTGACTGCCTTCTTTTACTTTAATATTTTCAAGATTCATCCATGTTGTAGCATGTATCAGAACTTTATCCCTTTTTATAGCTGAATAATATTCTATTGTATTCATACAATATATAAGCGTTTGTGTGGACGTATGCATTCAGTTTTTTTAGATACATATCTAGGAGTGGAATTGAGTCATATGGTACCTCAGTGTTTAACTTTAGAGGAACTGCCAAATGATTTTCCAAAGTAGCTGCATTATTTTACATTGCTACCAGCAGTGAATGAGAGTTTGAATTTCTGTACATCTTCACCCAACACTTGATATTGTCTGTCTTTCTAGACAAATTTTGATAAATCCCTCCTTTTCTAAACCATAGCCAAGTCTATTACTGTTTAACAATGACCATCTTGGAGTATAAATTTTCTGTTCACACTTTGAACTTTAACTTCCGGGTCTTAGATGTCTTTATCTGGATATACAGAGAATCTAGGTTTTGTATGTAATTATTCAATGATAGTATTAAAACTAAGTCCGGACGCAGTGGATCACGCCTGTAATCCCAGCACTTTGGGAGGCCGAGGCGGGCGGATCACGAGGTCAGGAGATCGAGACCATCCTGGCTAACACAGTGAAATCCCGTCTCTACTAAAAATACAAAAACTTAGCTGGTCGTGGTGGCGGGCACCTGTAGTCCCAGCTACTCGGGAGGCTGAGGCAGGAGAATGGCGTGAACCTGGGAGGCGGAGCTTGCAGTGAGCTGAGATGGCGCCACTGCACTCCAGCCTGGGCGACAGAGTGAGACTCCATCTCAAAAAAACAAAAAAAAAAAAACACTAATTACCAGTTTTTTTGTTTTTGTTTTTTTGGGACAGGGTCTCACTCTGTCGCCCAGGCTGAAGTGCAGTGACGCAGTCACAGCTCACTACAGCCTCAGCCTCCCTGGGCTCAAGTGATCCTTCCAGCTCAGCCTCCTGAGTAGCTGGAACTACAGGTGTGCACCACCATGCCAGACTAATTTTTGTATTTTTTTGTAGAAACACCATGTCTAGCTGATTTTTGTATTTTTTGTAGAGACAGGGTTTGTCATGTTGCCCAGGCTGATCTCAAGCTCCTGGACTCAAATGATCCACCTTGGCGTCCCAAAGTGTTAGGATTACAGGCATGAGCCACCTTATTAGGCCTAATTACCAGTTTTAATTATAGACCTACATGACTACGGTTTGAAGGAAAAAGACTTTATTTAATCCTAGTGATTGGAATTGGAATTCTCATTTGAGCCAGAAGATTTCTTGAGTGGTTTTGTTTTCTGTGATAACTTGGTTTATATAAGTAATCCACATTACTTGGGTGTTAGTGGTAAAGCAAGTCTTTGCCTTGTACAACAAAGATAATTTAGTGATTGATACATTCTGAATAATCTGGTGGTTATGACTTGACACATACAAAAAATGTTAGTGGTTGCAGTCCATCTGTTGCTCTGTAAAAAGATTTTTGTTATTGTTTGTTTGTTTTGAGACCAAGTCTCACTCTTATTGCCTAGGCTGGAATGCAGTGGCATGATCTCTGCTCACTGCAAACTCTGCCTCCTGGATTCAAGCAATTCTCCTGCCTCAGCCTCCTGAGTAGCTGGGATTACAGGCATGCACCATCATACCTGGCTAATTTTTGTTTTGTTTTGTTTTTTCTTTTTTTTTGAGATAAAGTCTCACTATGTCACCCAGCCTGGAGTGCAATGGTGAGATCTCAGCTCACTGCAACCTCCGCCCCCCAGGTTCAAGAGCTTCTCTTGCCTCAGTCTCCCGAGTAGCTGAGATTAAACAGTCATGTGCTACCATGCCCAGCTAAGTTTTGTATTTTTAGTAGAGATGGGGTTTCACCATTTTGGCCAGGCTGGTCTTGAGCTCCTGACCTGAAGTGATCCGCCTGCCTCGGCCTCCCAAAATGCTGGGATTACAGGCATGAGCCACCGTGCCTGGCCTAATTTTTGTATATTTTATAGAGACGGGGTTTCGCTATGTTGGCCAGGCTGGTCTCATAGAACTCCTGACCTCAGGTGATCCACCCACCTCGGCATCCCAAAGTGCTAGGATTACGGGCATAAGCCACTGTGCCCGGCCAAAAGTTTTTTTGAATCACCTATGGTTCATTTATTTCAGTTTAAGTGTATAATCCTCAAAGGAAATAATCCATTGGGATGTATTTATGAAGTTTAAGTCTGTAAAACAATGTGGAGGCCGGGCGTGGTGGCTCACGCCTGTAATCCCATCACATTAGGAGGCCGAGGTGGGCAGATCACTTGAGGTCAGGAGTTCGTGACCAGCCTGCCAACATGGCAAAACCCCATCTCTTCTAAAAATACAAAAATTAGCCGGGCATGCTTTGCGCGCCTGTAATTCCAGCTACTCAGGAGGCTGAGGCAGGAGAATCGCTTGAGCCCGGGAGGCAGAGGTTGCAGTGAGCCAAGATAATGCCACTGCACTCCAGCCTGGGTGACAGCATGAGACTCCATCTTAATAAATAAATAGCCAAGTGTGGTGGCACATGGCTATAGTCCCAGCTACTTGGGAGGGTGAGACAGGAGAATTGCTTGAACCCGGCAGGCAGAGGTTGCAGTAAACCGAAATCGCACCACTGCACTCCAACCTGGGCAAGACAGAGTGAGATTCTGTTTAAAAAAAAAAAAAAAAAAAGGAAAAATTCTGAAACAACCATGTAAGAATAAATGCATCCAAATGAACGTTGTTCATCTCAGAAGAGTCACCTTTGGAGGTGATGCACTTAGTTCCAACTTTGCTGCCTTTGAGCACAACATTTTAGGGAAATAATTTTTTGGAAGTGTTGTCAAAGTCTGAAATACATTCTTGTAGAATGTGGAAAATCTCATACTTGAAATTTTTTGATAAGCAAGACAAAATGTCACGTTTAGTAATACTGTTTTTTGTTTAAGATGAGGTTTTTCTGCTGGACATGGGGGCTCACACTTGTAGTCCCAGCACTTTGGGAGGCCAAGGCAGGTAGATTGCTTGAGCCCAGGAGCTCGAGACAAACCTAGGCAACATGATGAAACCCCATCACCTGTACAAAAAATTAGTAGAGTGTGGTGATGAGAGCCTGTAGTTTCAGCTGCTTGTGAGGCTGAGATCGGAGAATCACTTTAGCCTAGGAGGTCAAGGCTGCACTCCAGCCTGGGTGACAGTGAGACCCTGTCTTAAAAAAAGTTTTCTTATGTAACTTACAAACTAGCTCTTAGTGGTATTTGAAAGGAACAGCCCCAGAGTTGTTTTCAGTAACGATGGTATCATTGGAGTAAAAGTATAGCGATCCAACCTGACTACTTTGAAGAAATAATACAGAAAATGAGGTGTATCATGTGTGACATTTATGTTTAAATTTAAAATCAGTTTATAGTCAACTCATAGTTAATATACGAATATTTTTTACTAACTTCAAGTGATTCCTTGATCCTTTAAATAATTTTAATATGCTTTTTTGTTGTTTTTTGTTTTGAGATGGAGTCTTGCTCTGTTGCCCAGGCTGGAGTGCATTGGGGCAATCTTGGCTCCCTGCAACCTCCACCTACTGGGTTCAAGTGATTCTCCTGCCTCAGCCTCCCGAGTAGCTGGGATTACAGGTGTGCACCAACACACCCGGCTAATTTTTGTATTTTTAGTAGAGACAGGGTTTTGCTCTGTTGGCCAGGCTGGTCTCCAAGTCCTGACCTCAGGTAATCTGCCTGTCTTGGCTCCCAAAGTGCTTACAGGCGTGAGCCACCACACCCAGCCTATTTTAATATGTTTTAAAGAGACTTTAGCTTTTACAAGGTGTCTCTAAGCTCATACTTAATGACCTGCAGCTTTTTTTGTAGAATTTAAAGTCAAGGCAAGAGACTCATAATACTTTATCCAAGTATATTTTGTTAAAGCAAAAAAAATGTCATGTGATCTTGTGGAAAAGCCATACCATGAGGAAATTTTAGCTCCTATAAATAGGTGAAACTATTTTTAAACAATTGTTTGCTTTCTTAGATTATTTGTCATTGGTATAAGGAATACAGATGAGTATTTAATGTCTAAATAATATAACTCATAAATGGATGTGGTTGTATGCCAGTTACTCTTACACTACATAATATCTCAAATGTGATAATGGTTGCTGAGGCTTTGGATGGCAAATTAGGGCTTTCCCAGTGGTTATTGTGGTGTATGGCATCCTTGTCTTCCCTTACTTATGTTTTGTTTTTCTTCTTTCTCAATGGAAAGCCATTAAGTCTTAGTTAATTTTCTGTTGAGGCAAGCATTTGACATTCATTCGAATTCCCTCAGCCTTCCAGAAGCATTCAGTATGTTTCAACTGTGACTATGAGCAACAAAATAATACAAAGTGAAAAACTGCGTTTCCTGGTGTGAGTATTTCATTAGATTTATTGATCCTTGGCCTTATGGTATCCATGTGAAATGTTCAGACATCTAATTTTTTACTGCTAAATAATTTTTTTAGGGGATAAATAACAAACCTTGTAAATTATTTGAAGCATAACTGAAGATGTCAGATATATGAGAAATTATTTACTATTACTGTTTCAGTCATTTTCACTTCTAATCTTGTTAACTACCCAAGAATCTCTTGTACAAAGGATAGTAATCATTAAAATGGTTATATAGCACCCACAAAGTGCTTTAATATACATGTTTTAATCTATTCCTTAAAACACCTTCTGGAGTATATGTTCTTAACCATATTTTTTATCAGAGGACACATTTAATCACTTGCCCAAGGTAAAAACACACACCGTAGGTGATAAACTTTATGTCATGCTCTGCTGTTAAACCACCAATATAGTTAGAATTATTTTGATCAGACAAGAGCGAAGCAGTTTTCCTGTTTTTAGTGAGTGCGTATGTATGTTTAATTTCTGTGCTTTGATCTCATTCATAACTGTGTGTGTGTGTGTGTGTGTGTGTGTGTGTGTGTGACACAGGGTGTGGCTTTGTCACCCAGGCTAGAGTGCAGTGGCATGATCTCAGCTCACTGCAACATCCGCCTCCTGGGCTCAAGCCATCCTCCCACCTCAGCCTCCCAAGTAGCTGGGACTACAGGCACACGCCACCACACTTGGCTAATTTTTGTATTTTTTTGTAGAGACAGGGTTTGCCGGGCTCAGAGCTCAAGCAGTCTGCCCACCTCGGCTTCCCAGTGTGCTGGGATTACAGGCATGAGCCACTGCTCCTGGGCTCATTAATAACATATTCTCACTCATAGGTGGGAATTGAACAATGAGAACACATGGACACAGGAAGGGGAACATCACACTCTGGGGACTGTTGTGGGGTGGGGGGAGGGGGGAGGGATAGCATTGGGAGATATACCTAATGCTAGATGACGAGTTAGTGGGTGCAGCACACCAGCATGGCACATGTATACATATGTAACTAACCTACACATTGTGCACATGTACCCTAAAACTTAAAGTATAATAATAATAATTAAAAAATAATAAAAATAAAACATAGTTTTAAAAATACAAAAAAAATAAAAAATAAAATAACTTTCCAGAAATTTAGATTCAGAATCTCAGGTCAGGCTTTCTAGATAAGGATAAGTGGGTATGTTGAGCATGTGTCTCACCTGGCTCTTAAATATGTTTAACAAAGTTGGGGCTGTTGAACCAAACTGACATTTCTTAACAGTTGATCTTCTTAAAGACCTCACTTTGCACCACAGTTTTCTAAATGTGAAACATACTAATCTGCTTAACACATTATTAACACCTTAACATGACATTTGTTTCTACTTCTCTTCTAACTTCCCTTGAGCAATTTTCTATATTGAATTGTTCATGGGTATCAGAATTAACCTTTCTCTAGAATTGTTCCAAAGGTAACTCCACATTGCCCAGAACTAGTTTTTTTTGCTTTGTTTTTTTTTTTTTTTTTTTTTTTTGGAGTGGGAGACAGAGTCTTGCTCTTGTCACCCAGGCTGGAGTGCAGTGGCATGATCTCGGCTTACTGCAACCTCCGCCTCCCGGGTTCAAGCGATCCTCCTGCCTCAGTCTCCTGAGTAGCTAGGATAATAGGTGCCTGCCCAGCTAATTTTTATATTTTTAGTAGCGATAGGGTTTCACCATTTTGGCCAGGCTGGTCTTGAACTCCTGACCTCAAGTGATCCACCCACCTTGGCCTCCCAAATTATTGAGGTTACAGGTGTGAGCCATGGTGCCTGGCCCAGAACTAGTTTCTTATATGACTAGTAGTAGCCTAGCCAAATCCTCCCTCATTCTTAACTTTTCTTTGATCTTTCTTTTCTCAGGACTTTGAAGCTGTAACTTTGAAATAAATGAAAGAAACTTAGACTCTAGAATAAGACTCGCAGGTTTGACTTGGTCTGTCCTAAGTAGGTCATTGTTAGCCAACTAGTCACATCTTTGATCTATGTTAATTCATTCTTTTATTTATAAATTCAGATAAAGGTGGTCAAAAAAACAAACTTCTAGGGGCAAGTGAATGTCTCAGCTGAAATCAAAAGGATGAGTAGGGTTTGAGAGGGCAAGAAGAGGGAGAGAGGACATGCAGCATCTCTGAAAGCCTGGTGGCACGAAGCATGGTGACTAAGGGACAGAGGATATTTTGTTTGTTTGAACTATAAAATGTTAGAGAGCTGGAAAATTTTAAGATGATACTCTAAAGGGAAGCAAGGCCCTGATCATGCAGTAAACCATATTAAGAGTTTAGATTTTATTATGAGATATGAGAAATTATTGAAAGGGAAGGGTTGGTACACAGTTCATCTTGTGTCTTCTTATTTCTCTTGTTTTCTTACTCAGTCTAGATGCCCTAGACAAACATTTCAGTAGTTCTTTTCTTAGATCTCTTGGCTATTTCAAGGACAAGGCAGGTAATAAAATATGCTTGGTCTACAGTGTTAGTTAGCATTTTGGCATTTTTCTTTTTGTTACTTTTTAATACATGGTTCTATGTCCTATAATTTTTTCTTATTTTTCTAATATTTGCGTTTTCCACATTTCACACTTTAAAAAACTCTTCATAAATATTTTTATTGGCCAGATATTCTGGTCAGTGGGTCATTGTTTACTTAATTTCCTAATGGTGGATATTTATTGTTGTTTCAGTTTTTCTTGTTAGAAAGAATGCTGTGATTTACCTATAGGCAAAAGTTTAAATGCCTTAACTGTAGACAAAAGTTAAAATATCTTACTTTTTTAAAAATTTCATTGCCAAATTGCTTTCCCAAAGAATTGTGCCAATATGTGAACATGGCCATTTCATTCTACCTTCCCCATCGTTGGTTTTTTTTTTAATTGCTTGCTATTTTAATAGTGAAAAATGATGTCACATTTTTATTGCATTTCTCAATTACGTGGTTGGCCATATTCCCATATATTAATCATAGTATTTTGTATCTTGTAAACATTCTTTTTATGTCCTTTGCCCATTTATTCATTGAGAATTTTAAGATTTTTTTCTCATCCGTTTTATGAGCTCCTGATTAACAACCTCCTTTATAGCATCTTATTTGAATATTTTTATCAGGCTGGTTGTTTCAGCATAATGGGGATTTTGTATAGACCAATCTATTGATAATTTCTTTGTGATTGTTTTTTTTTCTAATTAAATAGCCTTCCACCTGAAGACTTACAAATATTTTTAAATTCTTCTGCTGGTTTTATGACTTCCTTGTTCATGTTTTCTTTCACTTTGTCAGTGTATCACATGAAGTGAGTGTTAAACTGAACTTTTTTCCAATTTCCTCATCTCATTTATTGAGTCTTTTCCTTTCCCCTTTGGTTTCTGATTTTTCTTTCCACAGCTAACAATGTTTGAGAATTTACTGTGTGCTAGGCACTGTTCTAAACACTTTATCTGTATTATCTCATTTTCTTCTCACAACAACCCTGTAAGGAAATAGAGGCACAGAAACCTAATTTGCTGAAGTGACACAGCTAGTAAGTAAAGCTTTGTCACATATTCAGTTCTTCTGTGTACCTGTGCTCTCATTGTGCTGTTGTTTCTATATTGTGGTTATCTTTCTGTTTTTATGCCACTATCATTCTGTAATTATTATGGCTGATACATGTTTCTCTCTCAAGAAAAGCTAATATCGGCCGGGCACGGTGGCTCACGCCTGTAATCCCAGCACTTTGGGAGGCCGAGGCAAGCAGATCACCTGAGGTCAGGAGTTCAAGACCAGCCTGGCCAACATGGTGAAACCTGATCTCTACTAAAAATACAAAAATTAGCTGGGCATGGTGGCACATACCTGTAGTCTTAACTACTCAGGAGGCTGAAGCAGAAGAATCGCTTGAACCCAGGAGGTGGAGGATGCAGTGAGCCAAGATCGCACCACTGCATTCTAGCCTGAGTGACAGAGCAAGACTCTGTATGAAATAAATAAATAAATAAATAAATAAATAAATAAATAAGTTAATGTAACTGTAGTATTTACTTCTTTTTCTATTCTTGCTTGTTTCTAAGTGAACTTAAGGTTCCAAAACATTTCTCATTGGAATATTTTTCAGAATTGCCTTAATCTGTAAACTATACTGGAAATAATTGCAACGTAATAGTATCCCACCAAAGTCCTCTGTACCTTAGTGTTTGATATGTTCCAGGTGCTGACTAAATATTTGTTGAGTGAAAGAATGAATGAATGAATGGAGAGACCTTAGTTTGTCATCTGCATCAAGTCTTAATTTATACTTCTCATTAATATTTTTCAGATTTTCCCCATTTGATGCTGCATATTTCATGTTAATGTTACTTCTTGACATTGTATATTTTTCCCATAATTTTCTAATTATTTGTTGCCAATATCTGTTATTTCTGTTTTTTTGTTTTGGAATTTCCCAAATATTGTTAAAAAAGATTGGCAATAGTGGGCATCCTTGTTTCGATTGTGATTTTAATAGAAATATGTTATTCTTCACCAGCAAGATGTTGGGTGGTAGTGTGTAATACATTCTTTTATCTAGTTCTTAAAATATATTTTATAAGGAAAAATTTTATGAAAGATTTTAGGTTAACTCTTGACTGACATTTTTGGTATTAAAGGAATTTGCTGTTGTTTGATAGCATCATTATGGAAGATATTGAATAGCACATATTTGTGATCTTTTAAGTTAGCTATAGAAGCCATCTTCTCATTCTGCTGTGGTAAGTGAATGTCTTTCTGACTTTCTTCTGGGTCCCTATTTCACTGATATCTAAACCTGATTTCTAGCAGGGAAGAGACTAAAGCAAGCACATCCTTTCATTCCCTTGCTCTCAGTGTGTAGAGCTGAAATGTTTCCATATATGGGAATTTCTCATAGCATTGGGTTTGGACATACAGATGTGATAATAATCCTCACAACAACAACATTACTGCATCTAGGAATGTGGGTGGGCCAAGACACTGTGAAGGGTTTATGTGAATTATGTCATTTAATCTTCAGAAAAAAACCACTGTAAGTTCTGCCAGCCCATTTTATAGATGAGGAAACTGTGACTTAGAGCAGTGAAATAACTTGTCTATGGTCATACAGCTGAGAAGTGGCAGAGGCAAGTTGCTTGTAAAGTAGAGCCAAGCCTTAGAGATGGATGGGTGAAGATAGATATAGATGTATGTGTATATAGGTATGTGTATATCTGTACACATATGCATACATATTTGATGTGCTTGAGAGATAGATGCTAAGGACTAATGCATTTTGAAATTTTTCTGGAGCCAGGAATATAGTAATACTTAGTGGCAAATAATGAGCCTTTTTCCATTAATAATAAGAATATAATTTCTTTGGAAGGAAATACTATCTAATTATAGTTTCCCTCAGTATATCTGGGGGATTGGTTAGCAGACCCCTGTGTATACCAAAATTTGCGCATATTCAAATCCCAAAATCGGCCCTGTGGAACGTGCTTCCTTGTGGAACCTATTTATACAGTATGTGGGTTTCACATCCCACAAATACTGTGCTTTCAATCTATGTATAAGTGTGCCCATGCCATTCAAACCCATGTTGTTCAAGGGTCAACTTTACTTTAAGGCTAGATAATTCTTCTGTCTAAGAACTTAGAGTCTGAGTAGTTGACGTATATTGTACTTGTAAGTTTACCAAGTTTGACTCTGCATTTTGCAGACATGTCTGTAGGATTGACATAATCCATAGGTGCTCCTAATGCAGTAGTCTATAATTTGACTTTCTTATTACTTTTCCCCTTAAAAATTCTAAGACAGCATTGAGTTTTTGGTATCCTCAGAGGAAAAGACAGTTACCTCTAAGATACCTACTTTCAGGGCAGGCGTGGTGGCTCATGCCTGTAATCCTAGCACTTTGGGAGGCCAAAGCAGGCGAATCACCTGAGGTCAGGAGTTTGAGACCAGCCTGGCCAACATGATGAAGCCCCGTCTCTACTGAAAATACAAAAATTAGTCGAGCGTGGTGGCAGGCGCCTGTAATCCCAGCTACTTGGGAGGCTGAGGTGAGAGAATTGCTTGAACCTGGGAGGGGGAGATTGCAGTCAGCCGAGATCACGCCATTGCACTCCAGCCTGGGGGATAAGAGCGAGACTTCGTCTCAAAAAAAAAAAAAAAAAAAAAAAAAAAAAAAAAAAAAAAAGAAACCTACTTTCTGTGAAAGTCGGTGTATATGTTTTTTTAAATAAGACACAAGTATGTGGTAGAGTAGGGATTATCTAAGCAATTAGTCCCTATCATGGATGGTGAAGGTACTAATCAGTGTTTGGGAGGGAGTGGAGATAGCTTCCGTATATAGAGAGGTAATGCATTTTAAAATCATTTAGGGGACTTTTTCAAATAATCCTGTTTCTTCATGGTGAGATTCCCTGACACAGTGAGCCAATCAGGTTTGCTAAGGCAGAAAATGTTCGAGAGCCACTGTACTAGACAGCATGAAAGATGACTGTTTTGTTGAAGCTTAATGGTAATTTTTCCATAATCCTGGTCCTTAAAAAGCAAAAAAAAGAACACATTAGAGTGTTGTTACTTTTCTCTCTCTCAATAGAAATGTTCCTAAACCAGCAAAGGAGGCTATCTGAATTTTTAAAAGTTTTTACGAAGGAACATAAAAATTCCTTTCTCTATCTTTTCCCACCTCTAGAAATGCTTGAAATGAGATTCTGCCTTACGTCTCACAAATTAAATACCACATTTGTGTCTCACCCATCTCAGTTATGCTGTCTTGCATTTTAATCAATCCTGTTTCAGGACTTCTTTTGCTGCCTTGTGGCTGTTTCTTATGTTTGTCACTAATTCATAAGTTGGCTAACTTTTATATTTGTAGAGAATTTCTCAGTGATTTTCTTCTAGTTGGAGTTCCAGTGTGGTTTGATTTGGAGTGTCAAGATCTCTGTCCCATGCCTAGCCTTAGTCCTCAGTCTGTTTTACTGGGTTCACCACCTGGTTGTAGTACCAAATGCCCTTTTCCCTTTCCCTCTCTCCTTCCTCACTTCCTCAGTACTGCCCAAGTTCGTCAGACCCAATGATTTTATTCTTAAGCTAATCTTATTTTTAATTTAGGTAATTCTGATTTCTGATTTGTAAAAGATAAATTTTCTTCTCCTTCATGTAGTAGGATTTTAATTTTGTAAATATTTAAATTCTCCATTAATGGTGTGTTAAATCTGCACTAAAACTGCTTCTTTACATGTTTTTAAATTTTTTCATTATGTTTTTAACACTTTTCTTACATGCAAAAAACACAACCGTTAAACTTTTCTTATTAAAATGCAAAGCCTAGTGTCTTCTAGCTTTTTGAAGAGCTTTTGTCCATTATATAATCTGTCAAGTAGCCAAGAGTTCCTCAGAAGCAGGACATCATTTAGATTTAAAACAATTATGGCTTGTCTGTAAAATAATGTTGTAGCATAACCATTCATGGGATGGCAGCTACGATTTTACTTCAGTAAAATATCCTTGGATACTACCGCCATTTTATTTACCTTAAAGATTTTACCAAGGTACCCTAGAACAAAAATGGTGAGGTCATTTTGATTCTGCTAAAGTTGGTATGACTGGAAAGCCAAATGACACAGTTATGAGCATAGACCTTTTATTTTCCAGATGTTTGACAGTGTAAACATACATAAAATACATATTAAAGTTTAGATGCTTTATATTTTGTGCAATAAATTGAAGCCTTAAAACATTTCATTTTTTTTATAAAAGAAACTCATTAGTTTACTTAATTAAGACAGTAAAATAGCAGCAAGTACCAAGACATTGTGCATTTCTTTTATTTAAGACAAGTTACTTCATTTACATCAGAGTTAGAAATGTTAAGACTGGCTTTCTTGAATACTTAAATATAGCTCGAATCACTGGTTAGATATGGACATATTTTCCCAACTGTACATCAGGGAGGAGTGCTTTCATTAGTTTCAGAAAATGCAGACCCTCAGACAGCCAGCATGACCACAACATTGAGCAATAAGAGAAATGAAGCATTTACTTTCCAAGCATTTGCCACAGAAGGTAATGGAGTCTTTACATTTGTGGTTGTCTCTTCCCTCCATAAGTTAAGGGTTGTGCTTTGTTGAGGCATTTCAGAGAAATTATTTGGCATGCCACTAGTGATACTTAGGGTCATGGGTGTTGGGGATGATTTTGTTGAGCTAGTGAGGCTTGTGTTTGTGACCATTCCATCTTGGAGATGAATAGTTAGAGTTGCAGCTGCTGCTTCATGTGAATTGATAGTCTCTGTGGATGTATCTTCTGGATAGGGCACAAAAGCCTTATCAGTGCTAGTAAAGGTGGTGTCTTTGCTTAGAGTGGCACCAAACGTTGTTTCCTTTGTTCGATATTGTTTGGGTATTTTGGTCACTTTGGGTTGAGTTACCACACTCAGAGAGTTAATGGTGTCCACTGTCTGCATCCCACTTACAGTGAATAAGCTTGAGGTAAATCCAGAAGGTGTGGGATACATGTTATGTTCCTTTAAAGATGATATTTGGGTAGAACATGGAGTCCCTATCACATGGGCTTTTGTTTCCATCATCCACTTCAGTAAGTAAGTAATGTTTTGTTTGTGGTCACATGACCACCTGTTATTGTAAAGGGTTATCTCTTGCAACTGAAAGAGTTGGTCAAAAGATTGGTCTGGAATGAATGTGAACTTATTGTTGTGCAGGTAAAGATGTGTGAGATTTGTCAGGTTTATTAATGTACCTGGAAGAATTTGTGTCAAAGAATTATTAGACAGGTCCACGATATGTAGTTTGGAGGGCATGTTGGTTGGAACTGTCCAAAGTTTGTTACTACTGAGGTTGAGAACCTCGAGACTTCTTAGTGTATTTTTAATGAGGACAACCTTTTCCAGCATGTTCTTAGAAACATCCAGATATTTAAGATTCCACTGATAAGCAGTATCAGATTTGTCAAGAAGTTTAATGTTGTTGTTAGCAGCAGACATGTTCCACAGAGACCGAGGTAAGTGAGCAGGCAGGCTTTCAAGCCTGTTGTTTGAAATGTCCAGGGTCCTCAGATTGGTATATTGGGTTAACTGGTTATGCAGATCAGTAAAGTGGTTATAAGACAGGTTTAAATGTATAATATTCTCTTGCAGTCCAGATGGTAATGTAGACAAGTTTCTGCCTGAACAGTCCACATGCCTGTGCCTCTCTGTGCATATACATTGGAGAGGACAAATGCATAAAATACCAGGTGTGAGAAACAGAAGGATGAACAGGCAGAGAGACATTTTCAATATCTGATATTCCATCAAAGCCTAGAAACAAACAGATACACCCTTCTTTTAATATGCAAATACAGTTTAGGCATCTGCATGGGTCAGTTAGCATTAGGCAAAATTTTCAATAAACCTCGTTGTTGTCGAGTCCTTTTATAATTGTTCCAGTGATTAAACTAACAAAGCTCCCCTTCATTTATAGTCCAAATGCTTAATCCTTCAATTGGGCTATGTGGTAGAGAGAGACTCTCTCCCTACTCTCTCCTGCATTTTCTCCTTTATTTTCTCTCTCCCTCCCCCCTTTTCTAACCATATTCTTTCTTATTTATCTTTCTAGAGCCTTAATATGATAAAATAGCATTCTTTGCAAATAAATAGTTGCAGTTGTAGGCTATTACTATTTTTGATGATATGCTTTCTTACTCAGATGAGAAAAAATGGCTGTCGTGTCTTTTTTTTTTAATCTCTGCAGTAATGTAATTCAATGTGTGTATATAGGGTAGATTTTATTTAGATATTAAAGCAGTTCTTCGAAATTTTATCTGTATGTTTTTAGGATAAATATATCTTTGTAAAAAGCACTTGAAAAATCCAGACCAACACAGTACCTATAAACCTCACATTTTATAAAGTGATTTTTTTCTGTATATTTCAGTGCCCATTTTAAAGGAAAACAATATGTATATTTACAGAGTGACTGAATGTATAAAAAATATCCCTCAACTGACACTGCAGCAAATTTCTGGTGCATGCACTTGCTATTGAATATATATTTAATCCTAACGTTGACTTTTTCTTAAAAGAAAAAGGAAAAAGATTCCAAAGTCAGCCTTTTACTGATTTAAATAACATCTTACCGTGGTGTCGTCTTCAACATCAGCATCTCATTTTCTCTGGGAAACTTAAAGGTCGTCTTGTTCTGTAGAGTCGGAACTGTTTCTGGCTGTGGGCTGTGCTTGCCTGCTCAGCTGCATTGTGTTGCTGTGAGCTGAAGCTCTGCAACCACCTGATCAGTACCACATAGGAGGACTGCAGAGCTGTCGCTGGTGCTGACTCAAATTTATGGCAAGAGGTGCACACGCAACAAAATGGACAATTTTTTAAAAAATTTGTGGCATCAAGCGTACCTATATATCTGATTTGCTATAGGATGGGATACCTTATGCATGAGAGTTGGCCCTTACTCCTTTCTATGTATTTGTCTGAGATTGGGTTCCATATTTTAACATTTGCCTCATTAAGAATCTGTGAATTTTTAAAATACCTCTACTCTTTATCCTTTTTACATGTTGAAAATAAATTTGACCTTCCTCATGGATAGTTTTCTATGATATTAGTCCCACTATTTTTTAACTCCTGCCTTTTTATATTCCTTTCTAAAATTGTATAATTTTCATGTCACTTTTTTAATATTATAAAAAATCTGTTTTATGACTTTTATGTCTTCCCCCAACATGGTGATTATTATGTTTAATCAGCTTTTCAAATTTATCAACCACTTAAGTGTTCCGTCTTCCCTTTTAGGATGTATAGAAGTACTGAAATACGATTATTTTTTCTTTATCTTTCTGATACAATGATCATTTGACCAAGGCTACACACAAGCCAGGATACATTTGGAAATTAGCATCTTATACTTCAGATTATCAGTTCCTATGTAAAATAAACATGTTTTATTTTATATATTTGGAGTTAAAGTTTTTTTTCTTTATGCAACCTTGGGTGGTAAGTGGATATGAGTATTGTTTTTTCCAAAGACATTTTTGGTGCTGTATGAATGACCATTTATTTGATTTTATGTTTTAAGAATAGCAGTATCAATTTAGGTGATTTCAGAGTGTTGCACATTTCATCTTTCTGGGAAAGTAGTTTATAGTTTTAAAATTACATGAAATGATATAAAAGGAAAATTTTTCATCATGAGTTTTATAAAGTGAGATCAGATTTATGATAAATTTTGCTCCACTCTTCAGTGGACTGCTTGTGTAAATCTGTTAAAACACAAATCTGATTTCCAGAATGGCAAGTTTAAAGAAAGCAAATAAAGTTACGGTATTTTCGTTACCAAGTGGCACCATTTAAAAACGAGTAATATTTAGCATGTTATGTGTAAGGAAAGTCTCTTTATGCCTTGTTACTAAATCGTTTGTTTTTCTCTAAATTATATTAGCATTATTTAGATTATACCACAAATAGAATTTGTTGTATTAAAATTTGAAGTTTATTTTCTTACAAGAGAAACTATACTCTAGGAGCCACCTTTTGTATAAAACTAATGTTCCTCGAAAAGTATCTGCATTTTAAGAGTCCGCAACATAGAAGTTTATTGTTGATTGGGTGCTTTATTGCCACTTTACTTTGAGGGTTCAGTTGAACTCTCAATTGGATTCTTACTGTGGATTTAGGAAACCAGCCATCAATCATAGTGCTTAAAATAATGTGTTAAAAATACTACATTCAGCAATATTGTGGAAATAGGGAATGCATTGACATTTAGAGTTCTATTTAAGCTCATATATACACTGCTGCACTTCTAAAGATGTGACTGAGGGTCAATTTACCGACCACTTAAATCTCTTAATTTTAGGAAACCTCATTAAGTCAGTGTAGAAGTAGAGTTATGCATTTTCATTACACTTAACAGTACTTTTGTTTGAAAGAAAAGACATGTTACTTCATTAATGGATTCAAATGAATTTGGGTTTAGGCTGTATCAAGTTTAGTTTCTGTTGTATATAATAGAAAATTCCAGTGCAATAGTAGTGGCAATGTTTCTCATTTCAAGTTTGGGACATACCAAATTGCTTCATATTATTCAAAGATTATTGTAAAATTCTCAAAAAGAAAAAGGGAGATCATTTCAATATATTTGAATTCTAACAATCTCTTACACTGGGTGCAGCACACCAGCATGGCACATGTATACATATGTAACTAACCTGCACGTTGTGCACATGTACCCTAAAACTTAAAGTATAATAAAAATAAATAAATAAATAAAAGAAATTCTCATGAAATAAAATAATACTGTATTACTGTTACTCAAAAAAAATATTTTTTAGAGGCATAAGTATGTGTTACAACTTATTTTAAATATTATTCAGACTCATTACATTTTCTATTAGGCTGTCTAGGTCAGTAATGATAGTTAGGCAACTTTTACATTCTAGATTAAGCAGTAAATTAATTTACGTATTCTTTTGTGTCCTAGGATATATTACCCCAACATTGTGAAAGGTATCACAAAGCATCTGCCAAGGAATAGCTATCCCACGCTAATCAGTGGTTTCAGTTTTCCATTATTATAGGTAACATTTGCTATGCTTGAGAGTCAGATATTGTTTATTTTTGGTAATATGGTTGGCTATTTAGACTGATTTTCCTGCTGAATACAACTGAGAGTACTCAATAAAGTACTTTAAAAGCATGAAAGAAATAACAACATAGAAATTACCAAGTCAAAATCCAAATGAATCAGTTTCTTTGCCCACCTCCCTACTCCTTTTTTTCTTTATGCCACTGGCTTGTTGCCAAAACTCAGTCAATTATTTCCTAAAATGTCTCTCATCTTGGAGTTTTCTCTTTGACTCTTTGGGAAGATTTAATTTGTTCTTCTGTCCCCCATATTTTCTATAAGTGATTCCTCATATCATTGACATAATTGCTCATTTGCATCATCTCACAATAATTTCAAAATAATACCAGTATTGATTGCTACAATTAGATTATAGACTACCGAATAAAGTTTAAAATTTGTTTGTAGCTCTGCTTGCTTTATTTTACTAAAAGTGTATAGTAAATTCTGTGTTCTAATGCAATGTGAAATAATTCTTTTCTGTGTATTTTTATATCACCAACTTGATATAAACTTTGTTTCAGTTTTCAGCTTTTCAGGATCACAAGTCAAAATTATATATATAACAATGTATATTCAGATAAATCTTGCTTCTCTGTCTTTTCCATCCTATTTCCTTCCTTCTGCTATTAGTAACTGTTTTTATTAGTTTTTCGTTGTATCATTAACATTTCTTTTTGAAAACCTAAAAAAAATGTAAGCATATGTATGGTATGTTCTTATCCCCCCTTCTAATATAAAAGGTGACATATATACATACTGTTAGATAACTTGTTCTTCTTTTCTTACTGTATCTTGAGTATCACTCCATATCAGTATATAGGTATCTGTATGATTCACTGTTTGATCCATAGTACTCCATTTGGGAATGTACCATGGCTTATTCAACCAGTCCCCTATTGGTGGACATCTGGGTTTTTCAGACTTTTGCTGTTACGAATAATGCCACAGTGAATACCCTTGTACCTAAATAATTTTATATGTTTGCCAGTAAATCTTTGAAAAAGATTCCTAGAAGTAGGATTGCTGGGTAAAAGGGTAAATGCATTTGGAATTTTTCCAGACATTACTAAATTCCTCTCCATTGATTATACCATTTTGCAGTCCCACCAACAGTGTATCATGGTGTCGAGTTCTATACAGCCTCACTGTATACTTTGTTGTTGAACTTTGGGATTTATTGTCCATCTGATAGGCAAGTATCTCCATCTAATTTTAAATGCATCTCTGTAATTATGAGGGGGAGTATATGTCTTTACATATGTTTAAAGACCATTTAAATGTTTTCTCCTGTAACTGTCTTTTTAATGTTTTGCACTATTAAAAGTTGTGTTTTGGGTCTTCCCCTTCCTGCCCCATATTAGGAGCATTTTAAATTTTAGAGGTATTAGCACTTTGTCTTGATTTAAGTTTTAATTTTTTTTTCCAGTTTGCCATTTGTCTTTTGGCTTTATTATGGTGAGGTGTGTGTGTCTGTGTGTAATGCGCACTTGCATGTGTGTGATATTTAAAAGTTTCATATAATTTGATTTCCCTTTTTATTGCCTCTGGATTTTGAGTCTCAGCTAGGAAGGTTTTTTCCCGCTTCCAGATTATAAAGGAATTTACTCATATTTTCTTCTATTACTTGTATAATTTCATGGTTTATATTTAGAACTCTGGTCCTTGGTGTTCCAATATAGTGTGAAGTATGGATCAAATTTTTTCTTTTTTCCAGATGTCTATCCAATTGTTCCAATGCTTGTTTCCACTGATTTGATATTTATTTCTGGACTTTTTCTTCTGTTCCATTGATCTGTTTGTTTAGTCATATACCGGTACCACAGTGTTTTAGTTATAGGTTCCCAAAGGTGCTACTTTACTTTTTGATCAGAATTAAGTAAGAACAACAGTTAAAGATCACCCTCATCTAATTCATTTGTGTCCCTCACCACTGACACCAAATAGAAGACTTATGTGATATATGTATGTTTCAGTGCATGATGTAGGTGCTCTTTGGTCCTATATTAGTGAAAAGAGTGTTGAACCAATAGTCAGGGAGCAAACTCAGCTTTTAATACCACTTCTAAGCACATCACTTACTTTCTCTGGTCCTGTTTTCTCAGTAGTTAACAAACAAAAGGAGTTGAACCAAATGGTCTTCAGGGTTGTGTCTGACTCTGGTTAATGCTATTTTGGTTAAGAGCACCACTAGTATGTGGTGTGAACTTTAATCTACCTTTTATTCCCCTGTGCCTTATTCTTTTGCAGTATTCATGAAATAAACTTTCTCTTCTGGATCTTAGTTCTTTAATCTTTTCTCTAAAAGATTTTTCTTTGTTCCAGCATTTTCTTCTGTCCTGCATTTATTAGTTTGTATCTCTTCCTGCTGATTAAGCAAGGATTGCCACTGTTTGGCTGCTCAGCTTCCACTGACCTCACTGGGGAAAATTACATGCAGTTAAATGTGAATTATTCTTCCCCCAGCAAAGAATTTCTTTAAAAAAAATAAAAGGAAAAAAGACAACATAAAAACCCGGCTGCTGCCAGTAGTCTGTCCTGTTATACAAAGAACAGAAAGAGAAAACCTCCCTTTAAAAGTACTTAAAGATATCAGACAACACTGTGGTCAGCTAATCAGCTCCCGTTTAATCTAAGAAAATTGGTATTTCCCTATTTTTCCCTGTATTTCTTTCAGGAAAGAAGGTGGTAAAAAGGGGCAAAAATGTGGAACGAGCCCATTAAGTAACTGTCACAAATGTAAAATGAGAACAGTTATGATGATTTAAGGCATGTCAAAGACTTGGCCAAGTATAAAAACATATCTTATTTACCATAACAAAAATTCGTAAAATTAAAAAGAATAATAGGAAATTCTCAACTCCAGATTGCTGCTGGGGAAATTAGCTTTAAAAGTACTAAGTTTGGGCCGGGCACGGTGGCTCACGGCTGTAATCCCAGCACTTTGAGAGGCCGAGGCAGGTGGATCATGAGGTCAGGAGTTCAAGACCAGCCTGGCCAATATGGTGAAACCCCATCTCTACTAAAAAAAAAATACCAAAATTAGCCAGGCGTGGTGGTGCACGCCTGTAGTCCCAGCTACTCAGTAGGCTGAGGCAGGAGAACCCCTTTAACGTGGGAGGCGGAGGTTGCAGTGAGCCAAGATCATGCCACTGCACTCCAGCGTGGGCGACAGAGTGAGACTCTGTCTCGAACAAAAGTACTAACTTTGAAGAATACATGAAAGAAAATTTTTAATGAGGAAGACAAAAGATGTAATATGACAATAAGTATCATGCTTATTCAGGAAAAGTAAGAAGCTCAAGGAAGTGTTTCTATAGATTAAAAAATTAATGGTCAGTAAAGATGGCTTGAAAGATTTTAGGAAAAACATTGTATGTAAAATTCCTGTGTCCAAAACCCTACTGGTTCTTATTAAATATGGAGCTTTGTTAATGTCATGAATGCCAGTGCTATGAATAAATGCTATGTTCTACTCTGAAAATCCCAGAACTATGAGTGGTTCTCCAAGACTGGGCTACCATTTTATTCTAAGTGCTTGTTTCCCCCTGGAGTTAGATGGGACTAATGAGGAAGAATATGTGCTTGTTGGGCAAAGGAGCACTTCTGCAGACAAAGGCTGGCATCCCCAAAAGTATAGGCTGATGACCACTCTTGACTTTGACAAAGATTGGGCCCATTCCTACTCTAATAACTCAGACTTACCAATTGTCAGATAATGGATAAAGATGAAATTCTGTGTAAGAAAGGTGATTTAAGAGTGGATAGCATCAGAAAGTATAAGTTTAGTAAAAAGTTGAGAATCATCTGTGTTTTGATAGTCTCTTTTCCTGAAAAAAAAATCACCCAAAGTCACCCGTATTTAGAATGAAGCCATAGTCTTCTTTTCCTTTTTTTTGCTTTATAAAACTTGATTTTGTTTGGGTGTTTATAAAGAAGAAACTTGTAAAGATGCCAGTTTTAAAATTTGTGCCCCCCCAACATGGTAGGAAAATATTTACATTTTATGATGCATCCTCATATTTTTTTCAGGGTAAATGTTCCTAACCCAACCCTTCAGTTGATGTTTTAACATGTTTGTTTTACTCTTTGCAATGAAACCAAGAAGAAAATTTCTCTATTCTCAAACATGCATTTTAATCTCCCATTCCCACAAACTTGGAATATTTATTTAATACTTGAGGTATTAATTTAAAACTTGAAGCATATACTTAGTCTCTTATTCCTCTCCACCCTGGTCTTTGAAATGGAAACATAAAAGTTTATTCACCATAATTTTATACACAGCTTTTCAGGGGAAAAAAAACTGTACTGGGTAATAAGTATATGTAGATTGTTTCAGAGTTCTTAAATTATTGAAACATACCATTTACATATGTAAAATGTACTATACTTTAAAGATAGGTACTATAATTAGTAAATAGATTACTGTTAAATAACTTTTTTTAAAAAAAAGTTTCATCTATGCACATAGGCTCTGAGCAGATTTCAGATAGTTCCTGAATAAAAATCAAAATTGACTATCAGTTGCCATTTTATATATGTTAACATATAAAGAAAAAAGAGTCATTTGAGGATGGAAGATCAGCTAAAAAGCAAGTTGTAATATTTATAACAGTTCTGCAGGTGGAGGTGGCAGGGATTCATTAAGATCTTGATCAGAGTTGGGAGGAATAGAGAACTCCTGACACTGGATCTCAAGGTTGGAATCTTCTTGGTTTTTCATAAAATCTACTGGTGGCAGGGGCAAGTTAAGTGAGTCAAGCGGTGGAAATGATTGTATTATCTCAGATTTATGATCTCCACAGTCTTGATTGAGACAGTCCAGAGATGGAGGGAGACTAGTAGAATCATTTGGAAGAGGAGATACAATTGTCATTGTGGGTTTGTCAGATTGGTTACTTTCCTGTCCTTCCAAATCCAGAAGGGGAGGTGGTGGAGGCAGATCTGCATCATCTGAAGAAGAAACAGCAGTTCCAACTGTTGAACCATCAGCACTATCTTCTGATGTACCATTTACTTGATCTTTTATTTTCTCTGTTTTGGGGTTGTTGGAGTCTTCAATGTTTTCACTTGATTCAAACAACTTAATTTCTAAGTCATCTGCTAAAAGTGTGCTTTTGCTTGGTTTCCAGGGTGTAAGTGAAATGATTGATGTACGTTTTGTGGATATTTCATTTTCTCTGATGTTATCCATACAAATGTCAGGGGTTTCTCCATCAGCAAATGGAGATCTACCTGCCCAATTTTGATCATTTAAAACTGGTTTCCTTAAGCATTTCCAAAGTACAATGATGATTATAGCTACCAACATAGAAGTCAGAAGTACACCAATTAGTATGGCAGCTATTGAATTATAATTGTTTTTTTGTGGGGTTTGTTTGTTACTGGTAGTATCTAAGATAAATCCTGGTGTACTCCTAGGTGAATTTTTGACAGTTGATGTTGGTTGTGTGGATGGATTATGAACAGTTATTTGTTTTCTAGAAGGGATCTGGACAGATGATGATTGTTGAGTAAAAGTATAGACAAATGACTTTGGTGGTTGTGTGGTAGAAGTACGGGCAGATGGTAGTTGTCTGGCAGAGGTGAACACGGCTTGCTGGGAGGAGGTGTTGGCTATTGGTGTTGGTTGTTTGGTGTTGTAGGCAAGTGGTTGTCCAGCAGAAGTATGTGCTTCTGGTTTTTCAGAAGAGGTATAGACAGCTGGTGTTGGTTGTCCAGCAGTGACTTTGGCAGGTGATATTGATTGTCCAGAAAAAGTGTCGCTGAATTGTGTTGGTTGACCCAAAGGATTCCCTGTTGTGTTTTGAGAATTAGCCAATACCTGTGACATTGATGATGTGAATAAGGTAGGCTGTGACTGCTTCTCTGTTGTAATTGTCTCTGTCTTTGAAAAAAATGTATTGTTCAGGTGTCCACAAAACAAAATTAAGATGAAATATTTGGGATCCATTTCAGAATATTTCCTCGTTATCTATAGCGGGTTTATAATGAAAGAGAAAGACAGTTAGGCGTCATTGGTGTCTAGTTAAAAATTTGACTTTTCATTATGATTCCTGGCATAAAGTAGGTAGACATTATTCCTAATTAGTAGTAGTTGATTAGTAGTTATTATTCCTAATTTAGACTTGATACACTGTAGGTTTGGTGTAACAACTCTTGGATATACTCTAACCCATCATACAGCATTTGGACCTCATAAGCAGTGATCTCTCTTCTTTTATTAATACAAGTTCTGTACTTGGCTCTGCTGCCCCTCTAGCTTCATTATATTTCAGTACTTCACTTAGTCATACTTCTCAAAACGCATAGGCTCTATATGCTGGATCCATGTGTTCTCTACCTTTTTTCACCATTTTCTACTAGAAATATATTGATTCTCCTGCCTTGAAGAACACCAGTGATCATCTGTTACCTAATCTAATTGTTCTTTATTTCTTCTCTCCCCTCCCCTCCTTGACCACATTAGACACTACTGTTCCTTCACTAATATTCAAGTAGCTTTTTGTAATCAGTCTTCCTTTCATGTTACTCTCACTAGCTCTTTTTCTTCTGCCTCCTAAATATGGTTAATTGATATTCTGTCCTCACCCTTACCTACTTTTCTTTGTTCCTGATTCTGTAAGATTTTAGTTCTCAGCTTTATGCCACAATTCCTAAACCTGTACCTCCAGCCTACATCTTCTTTGTCCTAATTCTATTTGTGTGACTTCTTGGTGGATTTTTCCATATTTTATATATATAGATAGATAGACATAGATATAGATATAAATATCTCCCACTATCAGCAAATTCAACATATTTAAAATGGAGTTCATCTTTACCCTCACAACTGACAACTGACTCTTCTCCCAACTTCTCTGTATCTGTTAATGGTACCACTAAGTTTCTTAGGCACAGAGTCTATTAGTAATCTTTGAAGCATCCTTAGTGTCTCTGTAGCGTGGTAGCCTTATGTTAATATTGCATATTTTTAAAGAATTTCATTCAACTCAGAGTCTTAGGCTTAAAATCCTAGAGTGATCTCTGAATCTGGTGGAGTAAATTCAATCCAGTTGGTCAAGTAGTCCTGCTGCTGCTTTCATTCATCTATTGGTAAATGCCACATTTGTGTGGAGCTCTGTTCTAGGTTTAGGAGATTAAAAAAAAAAAAAAAAGATAGTCACTGCCTTTAAGTGTTTCAGATTCTAGTGATAGAAGCAAACAGTAAAGGCCAGGCGTAGTGGCTCATTCCTGTAATCCCAGCACTTTGGGAAGCCAAGATGGGAGGATCGTTTGAGGCCAGGAGTTCAAGAACAGCATGGACCACATAGTAAGATCCCATCTCTAAATAAAAAGAAGAAAGAAAAAAAGCTAAAAAATAATTACAATAATTTTTTTTTTTTCAAGACAGTCTTACTCTGTCACCCAGGCTGGAGTGTAGTGGCACAATCTGGGCTCACTGCAAATTCCGCTTCCCAGGTTCAACTGATTCTCCTCTCTCAGCCTCCAAGTAGCTGGGATTACAGGTACACATCACCACGCCTGGCCTATTTTTGTATTTTGAGCACAGACGGGGTTTCACCGTGTTGGCCAGGCTGCTCGAGAACTGACCTCAGGTGATCTGCCTGCCTTGGCCTCCCAAAGTGCTGGGATTACAGGTGTGAGCCACCACGCCTGGCCCAATTACAATAATTTGATAAGCTTTCTCATAAAAGTATGCAGGAGATGTACAGAGAAGTTAACCTAGCCTGGAAAGGCTTCAGTGAAGTAAAGCTTGAACTGAATTTTAAAAGTCTATAAAAACTAATTAAGTTTCCAGCCAGGGAGAGCAACAATGTGGGCACAGGAAAATAAGGCACATATGAAAGTTTGGCAGATAGGGCTTTTTCTGGGATGTGGTAGATGCTAAAACTTGGAGAGTTAAGTTTCAGTTCTACTTCTCCCATCTAACTACCTGTCTAACCATGAGAACTAGTTGCTTAACCTTTCCTGTTCTCAATTGCCTTTCCTCTAAAGTGAAGAGTTCTACTGAGACAATTTGCAACTTTTGGTATAATATACTTGTTTTGCACATCATCAAACACAATGGCAACTATTTGGTTATCTCTTAACATTAGGGAATAGAAAATCTTAGGGTGTTAGATATTGGTATACATGATTAGAAACTATAGTTCTTCTGACTCATAAGCCTATATTTAGAGAGATTTGATGTTCTGTTGGAAGGTGCAATAAAGGTTTTACAAATTACCTTTTCAGCATATCTAAACAGCATATCATTGCTTACTCCTCTACCACTTGGTACACAGTGATGATAAATGGCCCTGTTTTAGTAGAAGAAAAGATATGTGATTTTTTTCCCTATACGAATAATTCAAGCCTGAATTTTAAAACAGTTCTCCTTTGAACTCTCCTGCACACTGCTGAATTAATCTTAAAAGTGTGCATGATCAGGTTACTACTGCCTTGCTTGAGGGTTTAATTTCTGTTAAGATAAAACTTCCTTTTTCTTTTTTTTTTTGGAGACAGAGTCGTTCTGTCACCCAGGCTGGAGTGCAGTGGCATGATCTTGTCTCGCTGCAACCTCTACATCCTGGGTTCAAGCGATTCTTGTGCCTCATCCTCCCGAGTAGCTGGGACTACAGTAGGCATACACTACCACACCTGGCTAATTTTTGTATTTTTAGTAGAGACAGGGTTTCACCATGTTGTCCAGACCGGTCTCGAACTCCTGACCTCAAGTGATCTGTCCGCCTCAGCCTCCCAAAATGCTGGGATTACAGGCATGAGCCACCACGCCTGGCCTGTTAAGATAAAACTTCTAAATTGAGTTTTCTTCCTTCTGGCTTGAGTTAACCAGTCCAGATTCACGTATCATGACTGAAACTTCTTATCCAGCCAAATGCATCCCTTTCCCACCTTGCATACTTTCTAAACACACGATTTTTCCCTGCTAAACAGACACTTCTATGCTGTTTTTTACCCTTCTCAAGGGTGTTCTTTTTTTTTATTTTTCTTCCAGACCTAGCCTCTTCCCCTTTCTGGCTGCATATCTGAATCTGTCCTCATCTTTCAGACCTCAGTTTAAATTCCCCTTCTTAACCCAAGTTCTCTGTGACTGACTACAGCCCAAACAGATCAGTCATTTACTGAATTCCCCCTAGCTCTCATTTATTGTTTTTATGGTTCCTTACATAATTCATGTATGTATCTCACTCACACTTCTATTCTCTTAAGTAATTGTGTTTACTTTTCACATTTTCCTATACCTACTTCCTTGAACAAGATTATAAAGAACCTTGAAGAAGGCAGAAAGGAGAAAGAAAAATACTTATCTAGAGCATATTATGTGTTGTACTATCCCAGTTTTGCATACTTTATTTCACAGAACCTTCAAATGACTTTATAAGGAAGGTAAAGGGATCCCTTATTTACAGATAAAGAGACAGTGTCAAATGAGTTAAGCAGTTTGCCTGATGTTATACCACTCGAAGTGACAGATTGGGAGTTTGTACCCAGGGCCACCTGATTCCAAAGCATACATTCTTTCTGCTACCCTTTATTGCCTCATGTTTTTATATTTTGATTTCTTTGTAGTTAATGCCTTATATATTAGGAGCACAGTAAACATTTAACCTGTATTGGGCTTCTTGATTCCTTTCCATTTTAGTTTTTGCTTTTTACTAGTACTTCTACCAGAAAATAAGCAGAGGCAGTGAAATCTGAGTTAATAAATTCTGCTTTTTATCCATTTTGCAAAAGATTTAAAAGGGAAAATTTGAACACTTTTGGCATAGATATAGGGATTTGAATAATCTCTGGATGGTCATCATCCATGCAGTTCCTACCCATTATTCTTATAGATTACAAAAAAAGGCGGGGGGACTTCTTTAGAAAATGTTATTCTCTTCAGAATTTCATTTTAAAAATCTGTTTTAATGCTATGCAAAGCATCAGAAAATATAAGCCATGAATTGTCTTTAGCCAAAAATGTTTCCTCTTTTGTGACTTTGCTTAAAATAAGGAAACCATACGGTTCCTCTTTTCAGTTAGCTGAAAAAGGCATTAGAGAAGGACAGGGCCCAAACAGGAACATAATTTTAAACCCAGGTTAGTTTGTAAGATCAATTTTGATAGGCTCCTATCCTCTACTGTCAGTAGTAAGCTGGTGGAACCCTCCATGTATGAGATTTTCACTTGTCAGTTAACGGTTATGGCAATATTAAAACCAAATTCCATTTTTTGCCTATCCTAACACTTTCTACCACTCTTCAGTTAGCTTTTTATCCTCCTAGGATCTGCCACATCAGAGTACTAGAAACTGTATTAGAATTCTATGATGGCAATTCAGTGTAGTCCAGAGAAGGAGAAGAAAGATTTAAAAGAGGAATAAATAGGGAATATGGTAGTGGAAAAAACTGACTTTTTTCCCAGCGGTAATGAGGCCAGCGTTACTACCAGTGTGGAAGGTTATTTAGCATACACATTTTAAAATATGTAAGTGGTGTGTACCTGAAGTACCAACATTGTTTCTGTAGGTAAAGAACAATATTGGGCAGGGGAATAAAAAGGAGATTTAGAATAATATAAAAGGCAATGCAAAGAAATACAAAATAACACAAAAGAGAAAAAACAAAAACTCTAGGAAGCAGCAAACAGAAAAGAGGAAGGTCAATTGACTAGAGAAGATACAGAAAAGAAGAAAAGTTAATAAACAGGTGAAAAAAAAAGCAGTGGTTATATAATTAGCAAGAAGGCAGTGTAGATGATTGAAGTAGGCAAAATGAAGTTGGGGGTGGGGGGAGATGATTGAAGTAGATGAAAGAAGCAACGGCAAAATGCTGCTCTGTTGTGGCTGGCCTGTGTTTGTGAGTGCAGGGAGACAGTAAAGAGGAGCTTGCTTTCTAAAATGGAGGACCAGAAGGAACCATCCTTTCAAATTCATTTACCTTTCATTTCAGGCTCTCCTGTCTGCTGTGAGTATCCTTACCATCCTCTCCCTTTTTTTTTCCCTGACACTATCCAGAAGCATACCTAGCAATTATTCCAAAGAACCCATGTACCCGTGTACGTTTTATATAGAGTTTTCCAGAAATCCCTTAGTCTGCTGCTCAAGCAAATTTGTCAGCCCTCATATGCCGGTTTTTACTCATTATTATAGGCTGGCACTTTGAGGTTTAAATCTGTGATTTTGGTTCTTTTTCTTTGCTGAATATTTAGAATATTTTAAAAAGAAAAACATAAATTTAAACATTTTAAAGACAGTTACAGTGAAGCAGGAGTCCCCGTGTATAAGACATGTTCTTTTTTTTTTTTTTTTTCCGTTTGGAGACAGGGTCTCACTCTGTCACCCGGGTTGCAGTGCAGTGGTGCAATCTCAGCTCACTGCAGCCTCTGCCTCCTGGGCTCAAGCGATCCTCCTCACACCTCAGCTTCCCTAAAGAAGTTAGAAACTGCAGGTGCACTACACCACGCCCAACTAATTTTTGTATTTTTTGTAGACATGGGGTTTCACCATGTCACCCAGACTTGCCTTGAACTCCTGGACTCAAGTGACCCACCCACCTTGGCCTCCCAAAGTGCTGGAATTATAGGCATGAGCCACCGAGCCCGGCCATAGACATGTTCTTATAAATATAATGCATAAGTACTTAAAGGGTCCAGCATTTAAAATTGATGCTGTTAAGTTGGATATGTTAGGAAGTATGCCATTATCTTTTAAAGAGAATCAAGATTTGGAGAGCATATCCTAGACAAAAGACAAGTATAGATAGCTGTATCAATTACTTTGATATAATAAAAGTTGTGATGCAAATATAATAGATTAAAATTTAGCAGTAGTATTATCTCTAACTAGTGAAGTTTTGAAACCGTAAAAGAAAAAACCAGCCATTCTGCATCTTGAGGAAAAGTGGAAAGAGAAATTGACCTTCAACTACAATAGGAAGTATTTGATGACCATCTTGTATCATGATAGTGACCATTTACTGAGCACCCACCAAAGGCTAAGCAGTATCCTATTTTAATTAGCTAGGTGGTGGTTTTTTCATCCTACAGATAAGGAAACTGAGACACCACGATGTTGGGTAACTTGGCAGTATCACAGCTCTAAGTAGTGGCACTAATACAAAAATCATGCTAATCTTGTGCCAGAACCGTTTCTTTCTATCACATTTCACTGTATGTGCTATACTGCCTTTCATAGAAAAGTTATGAAATAGAAATGCTTTATGAAGGAAGGAGATGTGAGTTGGTGGGAATTACACGTAAATAACACTTGTAGGTAGTCTTAGATAAAGGGTAGGAAAGAAATACCTGAAAACCCATTTTAGTCCTGATTCTACGAAAACTATTATAAGAATTTGGAATGGTTTCTATAAAGTGTCATATTTAGTAAGTTTACTGAAAATTTTGTGGTGATTTTTTTTTTAAAGCTTGGACATTGAAAGGCATCAGATTTATGTTTCTCAATTCAAACTTAATCAGAATTAAAGTTTCCTTCTAAGTAGAATTATGTGGGAATTAGCTGGAAAACACAGGCACTACTAGTAAACTTTAGATTTGGGACTAACCCTTTAAAAACATGTATGGGACCAGGCGCAGTGGTTTCTGCCTGTAATCCCAGCACTTTGGGAGGCCGAGGTGGGCCAATCACTTGAGGTCAGGAGTTCAAGACCAGCCTGACCAACATGGTGAAACCCCGTTTCTACTAAAAATACAAAAAATTAGCCAGGCGTGGTGGTGGGTGCCTGTAATCCCAGCTACTCAGGAGGCTGAGGCAGAAGAATCTCTTGACCCTGGGAGGCGGAGGTTGCAGTGAGCCTGTGAGCCAAGATGGTGCCGCTGCACACCAGCCTGGGTGACAGAGGGAGACTCCATCTCAAAAAAAAAAAAAAAAAGTATGGGATTCTATGACAAAAACACACCATAAGGATTGATGGGAAATTTTTTAATTTTATGAAATATGACAGTGAAAAAAATTTAATATAATTTTATGACTTTATGCATAATGAAATAAACTAAATATTAGAAGTAGAAAAATATATAGACAAGCCTAATCTGAAAAAGAGATAAATATCTTTATTTTCTGACTTCCACAGTAATTACTTAGAAGAAATCCTTCTAAGAGAAAGTCATGAATATTTATTAAGTGTTGAAATGGGATATCACCCACTATGAACATATTATTCCCTGAAATTACAAGTCTATGTAAAATACTCTTTGCAGTTTTTAATTTGCCCATTTTACCCACAGCAAGCATCTTTTATGCATATTAACAATTTTCTATTGTTTATTCTATAGGTTTCTTCTATCTTATACTATGTTCTAAAGTCTCAGATAATGTGACATAAACACGTAGATGATATTAATATACGCATGCATGTTTGATTATTGACTAACATTTTTGGCTTAGTAAGCTTTTAAAATGAGCCATAATGTTTTCATGTCATCATTATTAAATATAAAATCTATATGTAAAAAATAAAGCATGTATAATAATAATAGTCAAATACCACATCTGATTTCTTTTTCTTTCTAAATTAAGTGAAGGTGACCATTCTTACTATGCAGACTAAAGGGGATACAAAAATTTTAATTTATGCATTATATTATGTACAGGAAAATTCTATAAAAAGTACATTAGAACTTTTAACAATTAATATTTTGGAGGTTATAAATTCAGTCATAGCCTGTGGAATCTAGTTCTATTTCTAACCCTTAGCTTTATCTGCCATGGCTATAGTTTCTTTTTAATTCTAAAACTAAGGTTAACAAATATGATTGTGGCTGGGAGCGGTGGCTCACTCCTGTAATCCCAGCACTTTGGGAGGCGGAGGTAAGCGGATCACCCAAGGTCAGGAGTAGGAGACCAGCCTGGGCAACATAGTGAAACCCCATCTCTACTAAAAATACAAAAAAATTAGCCAGGCGTGGTGGTGGGCGCCTGTAATCCGAGCTACTTGAGAGGCTGAAGCAGGAGAATTGCTTGAACCCAGGAGGTGGAGGTTGCAGTGAGCTGAGATCATGCCACTGCACTCCAGCCTGGGAGACAGAGCAAGACTCTATCTCAAAAAAAAAAAAAAATATGTGTGTGTGTGTGTGTGTGTGTGTGTGAGATTAAATAAACTTAAAAGGTCTTATACAAACCTAGGTGAAAATATTTTTCTAAGGCAAGCTGAACTGAGTATTTTTTAATTCTATGCAACAAAACCACAAAAACCTGTTATAGACATCTTTAGACTATCAGAGTTTAAGTTTAAAACACTAATGACAGTTTTTAAAATAAATTTTATATAAAGCAAGATCAAACCAAATTGTGTGAAAATTTTCTTACCTCAGCTGTTAACTTCTTTTGCAGAATGCTAAATTCTTGTTCTAACTGGACATTTTGGTGATTTGGCTAAGAAAGGAAAATGGGTGGTTCAATTCAGATTTAAAATGTTCCTCTAGCAAACTGAAATAGTTTCTGTAGAAAAAGAGGAAGTTTATCAATAGCTGGTTCCGGAAGTGCAATAAACCACAAAGTGACTAAGAAATATATTACTTTAACAGAACTTATTTTGAAATACATTTTGGAGCCCTATGATTTGAGTGCTTTTAATTATGTAAATAAATATTTGAGATACTCTAGTAATATGATTATGTAAATTAAATATTTAGGATGGAGTCCCGAAGAGAAAATTACATGTTCTAAGAAGAAAAGCTGCCAGTTGGGTTATCACTTACAGTGAGATTTCTTCTCATAAGAAGTGAGTGATGTGTTCTGTTTACTTGTATGACCTTAGGCAAGACTCTGCACTTCTGAGTCACCGTTTCCTCCTCTAAAGGAATATTTTATTGGGTTATTGTGAGGATTAAATAAGATAGCATAATATAACATGTATAAATGCCTCACCAACTGCAGGTAACCAATAAATGTAATGTTATTTCCTCATAATATAAAAAGTCCAGGGTAAAAGTATAATTACATTATTTTGCAAATGACAGGATCTCATTCTTTTTTATGGCTGAATAATACTCCATTGTGTATATGTACCATATTTTCTTTATCCATTCATCTGTTTATAGACACTTAGGTTGCTTCCAAATCTTGGCTGTTGTGAATAGTGTTACAACAAAAGTGGGAGTGCAGATGTCTCTTTGTACAGTTTTCCTTTCTGTTGGGTATATACCTAGCAGTGGGATTGCTGGATCATATGATAGCTCTATTTTTAGTTTTTTGAGGAACCACCAAACTGTTCTCCATAGTGGTTTTACTGATTTACATTCCCAATAACAGCGTACGAGAGTTCCATTTTCTCCACACCCTTCCCAGCACTTGTTATTGCCTGTCTTTTGAGTATAAGCCATTTTAACTGGGGTGAGATGAGGTATCATTGTAGTTTTGATTTGCATTTCTCTCATCAGTGGTGCTGAGTACCCTTTCGTATGCCTGTTTGCCATTTGTATATTTGTAATTAAATTATTTTGACCAAATATTTTACTAGTGACTTTTGAGTTCAAGTTCTCAACTATTTATTTGATTACCCACAAAGTAGTTACTTCTCAGTGGAAAATAAAATAAATTGGGGATCATTTTTTAAATAAGAAGTTAACTAAAGTTAACTTGTTACTAAAGGGTAATGAGGGGTTGGGGAGATGGTGTTACCAGTTAATAGGTACAAAAAACAATAGAAAGAATGAATAAGACCTATTTGATAGCACAACAGAGTGACTGTCATTAATACCATAATTATACATTTTAAAATAACTAAAAGTGTAATTGGACCCTTTGTAACACAAAGGATAAGTGCTTGAAGGGATGGATACCCCATTCTCCATGATGTGATTATTTCACGTTGCGTGACTGTATCAAAACATCTCATTACCCTTTAAATATATACACCTACTATGTACCCACAAAAATTTAAAATACAAAAAATTTTTAAGTTAACTAAACAAAGTGTATTGAAAGGAGTGAGTCCATCTGAATAAAAATTTCTTTGAGTAAGTCACCTTTCCTCTCTTGAAAAATGGAGATCATAATTCCTAATTTATAAGCTTATTGTGGAATTAAATAAATGTAAAGTGCCTTGGATGATGCATATTATAGTAGGTACGGAATGTGTTAACCCATGCACTGCTTTTTCCTGGTCACTGCGGGAAACACAGGTTATTATGACCTTGTTCTTAACTTCAGGGTACTTATAGCTTGGTGCAAAAAGAATAGTTTTTTTTTATGGGCTCCTACTATAAAGCATAATATAATCAAATGCTATAAAGCTTTTGATTCACTGGTTTTTGGAAGTATTGTTGTTTTTACGGACAGGGTATTGCTGTGTTGCGCAGGCTGGTCTTGAACTCCTGACCTCAAGCAATCCTCCTGCCTCAGCCTCTCGAGTAGCTAGGACTACAGGCACATGCTACTATGCTCGCTGGCTGGCTTATTTATTTATTGTAAAGATGAGGCTCTTACTTTGTTGTGCAGGCTGGCCTCAAACTCCTGGCCTCAGGTGATCCTCCCAGGATTATAGGTGTAAGCCACTGTGCCTAACCTGATTCACTATTTTTAAATCCCTGAATTAAGCTGGTGAACTGTAATACCCAGGGGTAGGGAATGTGTTTTTGTTCAAAACTAAATGACTTTTAAATTTTGAACTCAAAGATATCTTACCTACCATTTTAAAATACCTGTCATTTGGAAAGGAAACACTTCTGTTTGTTCAGTAACTATCATTGGATAGTACCATTCTGAGAGTATATGTTTAATAGCCAAGATAGTGAGTGGTGAATTTTAAATATTCTTTTAAATATCCTTGTGGTAGAAGCTCTCTGGTGAGAAAATGTTTGACCAGTATGTTGAATATGAAAGTAATTTCCTATTTTTATGATGATATTAATTTCTTTTAATTTTCTCTGACAAGTGTTTATTTATGACCCTTGATTCAAGGAGTGCTTTGTGTTACTCCTGGATGTACTGGTGCACAATCTCAAATTTTCAATTTTTGCACAGAATGGGAAGTCTGCCCAGTTTCATTTCTAATCTGGGTTATTTTTCCCCTCAAAAGATAACCTGATTTCAGTCACCATGACTGGCATGAATATTCTCATGCTTTCCTTTTTACTTTGTTAACACTTAACTTTATCTGGAATAATATTGTTATGATTTCTCGTTTAGAGAATAGATTTGTTTTTTACAAATTGCTAATAAATTGATAATAAAAATGATGCTTTATTTTTTTCCTCTCATTTTAATAATAGCTAGACGTTTGAATTTGATGACCAAGAGCAGTTATCACCTTGAGAGTTACGTAAAAATTACCAATGCTTAGAGTTCACCCCATTCCAGTTGCATCAGAAGGAAGACATGGGAATTAGGCATTGGTGTTTTTTAAAAACTCTTCAGGTGATTCTGACATGCAGCCAGGGTAAGAATCACTAGCTTAGAAGGGAGAGTAAGATTGTAGTCATACTTGGGAAAAAACATATAAAAAATATTTTTAAAATGGTTACTATATTGCCCGAAATAAATGCCCAGTAAGGGATGAGATTTTTGAAATGTGGCCTGATCTTAGCCCTGTGTTAATTTCAGTAGATATTTGGAAAGTCTCTCAAACCAATTTTTGTAATATATTTAATTGAAGATGGGGGGTTCTCAACTTAAATGTAAGTCATTATTTTACTTGAAGCCAGTTTCTTTAAAGGTTAAATTATAACCTGAAGTATGCAGTTTTCCAGATTTGAACACACACACACACACACACACACACACACACACACACACACACCCCTAATAAATCATTAGGCTACTTGGCATCCTTGAAGTCCAAAAATTAATCAACCTTTGGTACTTGTTGTTAATGTTCCAGTAAGTAGTATTTATAGAAAAGATGAATATTATTAATCATAAACAGTGAAACATACTTTGCGTTTACACTTAGCCTATTGGTGTGGCTATAAATCTTATTTATTTTAGTTGTGCTCTATTTCTTATTGATCTTTACAATGTGTTCTCTAAAGTAATAAAGTGAATGCAAATATACGTGGTCACAGGTTTATTCTGAGTTTTAATTTATTATACAAAAGTAAAGGTTTTAATTTAATATTAATAGTAGAAAAACACTTTCTTACGTGTGCCATATGGAAAGATAAAGGATCTATTCTAAAATTAGCTGTGTTGGTTGATAAGCTGGTGTGGATTCTGCCACATCCAGCAAAGAAGATACCATTAAATTACACAGTTTAGCTCTCTCTATCTATGCATTAGGAATTTGACTTCCATTTGATGTTAAAGCATATACTTGGCTTTAAGGACACACTAAAACTATTCAAAGTTTAATTACATTCAGACAAAGATCATCTAACCACTGTTGCTACATAGGGAATATTTATTTAATTATCCCTTGCTATCTCTATTAATCAGTTTCCTCAATTTATCCTTAAAATTTTCCTCAAATGCTTAGTTATTTTATTATTTGCTTTTTAAAATATTCAGTGTCAAAACAAAAGTACACAGTTTAAATAATTAAGCAGGCATACTTCTCCCTGTCTCACCTGCTTGATTCTAAATTGCAAGGTCTACCATGTCAAATTTTAGATAATCAGAACAACACTTTGGGATTAAATACCAACTGACTTCATTTTTACTCCATAAGCCTTCTCATTGCTACTTTGCATTTTTCTTCACTAACCTATCTGTTTGTTAGTAAGTTTTTCAGTTCCTTCTTCATCTTTTCTTTCCCTTGTAGCTGTGAGCACTCCAGTAGATTGCATCACTAGGTTGGGTCCTGTGAGCTGTTTTGTTCTTTTCCAAGTGTCTGATTCAGCGGGCCATAGACCGCTTGCCAGAAAATCGCCATTGCTTCTAGGCTGACGCTTGCCTACTTGTTTTGATCGTCTGAGAGAAGAGACTTTGTTTGCCAAAACCACAGTTGATAGAAATAGAAAGGTACAGATAAGAAAAAGCACTGCAATTATAATTAAGCAAATTAGCATAGCCATGTTGTTGTTGTTTTCCGCACAGACATCCTTTTTGAAAATTTCACCATGACTTTTGCTTGTGTTTTCAATGCTCTGTACTGTTGAAGGACTGTTGCTGACGACAGAAGGTATATAAAGCTCCTGTTCAGATTTAGAAGTTAAAGCTACGATGTGAGATGTTTCAGGCATGTTTGTAGAATTACCTTTATAATCTACTTCAGGAGTTATAGGGTTTGTGTTAATGTTTTCATTTTGGTTTCTGCCTGTCTTGTTTTGAATAACTGAATCCCAGGAAGAAGTACTGTTAGCCCACAGACGGGTATAGTTTGCTTTTGTTCCAGGAGACAAAGAAAAAACTGTTGTCATCAGAAAGGCAAGATGTAGGTAATGTCCTGTGTGTTCCATGTCCGTGGGCATACTTGGCAATCTGTTGGGATAGCAATATAATTTGTTAGTTTGTGAAAGAATAATGGATCCTAGTTTTGGTAATTGTAGTTAAAAGATAGTGTTGAGATGTTACAAGTAAACTACAAGCTTATGCCTAATATTCGCTACCCTGAATTCCTTCTCAACTAAATTTCTTTTCTATTCAGCTATGTATGAAGAAGCATTTTAATTTCTATTAACACTTTTAGATGCTAGAAGTTAGCATTACAAATAAATATTAATCATTTTAAGTGGACTATCATGGCTTTATATAGTTTTCTTCCTTTGAAGCGTGCTAGACTTCTGCTTTGAGTCAGTTAGTTCTGCTTTTACTTTTCTGATTCCTTCTTTAAAAAAAAAAAAAAATTAAGGATCATTCTTACAGAAACTACCCACCCTCTAACCTGTCACCAATCTTTACAGAAGAAATGTGGCCTTGAGCTTCTTGCTTCATGTATGAAATAAATGCAAATTTTTTTGGTGGAAAGAGGGGAAGTTTGGTAGCAACCAAAAGAAACTGAACTTCAAATAGAAATTCAAGGTGTTCTTTTTTTTTCTTGGGTGTTCATCTTGAAGCTTAGAATAAAGCTGGTACTTAGAAATACATTTGTAAGTGTATTTGTGAACGCAATTTTACTGTGGTGGTTGTCTCTTTTCATTTATATTTCCCTGGACTGACTGTGTCTTTCTGAAGGCAAAGGCATACCAGTTTTCTCAACCTAAAAATCTGAAGAAAAAAAAAAAAAACAGCAAATTTCCTCTGAGTAGACTTAAAAGTTCAACAAAAGTTGCTGGGTTTTCTTTTAAAGCATCATTTATACCTAGCATTTTTTCTGATTTTGACATAATTGTAAAAAAAAATGTGTAATAAAATAGAAATAGAGCATCAGGATCTTGATGATTTGGGATGAAGTGGCAGGTTATAAGCATCTCAACAGATAATTGAAAATGTTGAATTTCCACTTTGGCCCTGAGCTTGCTGGAAACTAGTACAAAAAGGAGACAAGTTATATTATACATTTTTTAAATCTACCAAATGATTGATTTAAATAGAAATGGCATATCTTAGAATTTAACAGTTCCATGTACTGCTAACCCAGCAGGAAAGATTTATAATCATTATTAAGGTATCTTATAATAATATACCAGTTTGTCTTGAGCTACTTTTGAAAGGAGTATTTTATTGTTAGCATTTATTTGAATGAACTAAAAGCAAAACTATATTGTTCTCCTGAGATTTACTAAATGAAATTGCCTGGTTAAGAACCCTACGTATGCTATAGAAATTCTTCTCAAATGTACTTAGGAGTCCTTTTATTTTAAAAAAAAAAAAAAAAGGCAGATTCTTACCTAGCTAGTATAGGTAGGGCCTGAAAGTCTTTGTTTCCAAACCAACTCCTAAGCAACATGGATGCCACTGCTAGTCAGGCTTTTGAACATCAAGGTTTTATAAGAAATGGTTGTTATATGTCATTGGCTGACATTTGTATACTATTAAAATACAGAAATTGAAAATAAGAAATGTGATACGTTGAGTTATGCAAACAAAAGTAGCATGTAATAAACAATGCTAACTGGAGACTATATTTCATATTAATAGTAGGGAGGAAAAACTATTAAATATTCCAGGATTAAGATTACTTTTTAGATTATGACCTTTAGTAGAAAATTAAAGGCCCAAGTCACTGGCTTTTGTATAATAGTGTTCAGCTTTAATTTTTAAGTTTAGTGACATAAATCTTTGGATATTTCATGATTCTTTCACAAAAAGAAATACTTGAAATTGGATTAGCAAGTAATTTCCATCTTTTTATACTAGACTGGACTTCTGTATTAGATGCTAGAATGATTTAAAGTAGATTATTCTGTTCACATTAGTTCATTAACAGTGTAGTATACATCATAGTATTGGTACACATTTTAACAGTGCTTACCACGGAACAGATAATAGGCCTGCTGTTGATTGTCTTCAGCCAGATGTACTGCAGTGCCCAAATAAACAAACTGTATGACAAAATGAGACTTTCTCTTGCCCTTACAAATGCCTGAGAATTGAGGACTGTTTTTACTCCAGTTTATGCCTTGGAGGCCAGGTTGTGTTATCAAAAGTTTTCTTATATCTGATCATTTTCAGTAGAATTTATTTTCAGTAGAATTTGTAATGTCCAAGCATTAGTAATGAGAAATTTATTTTTTAACTTTTGAAAAATAACAAAACATTTCCAGTTTACTTGAGGAAACCAAACTTAGATCCTTCGTAATCCTAATTTAAAACTCCATGGCGATGGCAAATTTTTTCATTTCTAACTTAAAATTTATGTAACAGGACAGAAAAAAAAAGTATACATTTTCAGTCACAATTCTAGTTTGTTAGTGAGATTCTTACACACTTTGATAGCATTTCCTCGAACACTAATCTGTCAGACGTTAGAAGTGAAAAGGCATAAGAAAAGCCGTATATATATGACCTACCTTACAAAATGCTTGGTCAAAATCTGATTATAACGTGATTTTGATAAACCACTTCTTTTCTTGTCTTCTTTTTAAAGCAGAATAGACTTGGAGAATATGAGCCTTAAAGTAAATCTGCAGTAAAAAAGGATATGTGCAGCTAGTTTTCCACTTTTAAAACCAAACCACAGATGACACATTTCCTTTCCACTGCAACTAAAGCACATGTCACAGGAGGGGAAAAAAAAAAACAACGAAAAAGCTCCAACTTCTCTAGTTGGCCACTGGCATGACAGGAGGCTTTGTAGAACCAATCCCCGCCTCCAGAGCAGGGAGGGTTTTCCACTTAATGCCTTTTGACAGTATGCTCATTCTATAGGCCTGCTACATGCTTTAGTGTCATTCAAAAGAGGTTTTGAAATGGTATCTTCCATTTCAAATCTTCTCTAAAAGACTTATTTGAAATCTACAGACTGATTTGAAAATGTGAGTTTGGAGTCCATGGGATACTGATCAGATAATGTAACAATTGTGGAACTGCAGCAATTATTTGAGAAAATATCTAGTAAACTTAGATTATATGGGACAGAAAATGCTTTCGTGTGGTGTAGTGTGTGTATACACACACACACACACACACACACACACAACTGTCAAACATCCTGTCATCACCTCAAGTTTAACATGACTGAAACAGACTTTAAGAACTAGGTATGGGCTGAACGCGGTGGCTCACACCTGTAATCCCAGCACGTTGGGAGGGTTGACGCAGGCAGATCACTTGAGGCCAGGAGTTCAAGACCAGCCTGGCCAACATAGAGAAAACCTGTCTCTACTAAAAATATAAAAATTAACCAGGCAGGGTAGCATGCACCTGTAGTCCCACCTACTTGGGAGGCTGAGACAGGAGAATAGCTTGAACCCGGGACGTGGAGGCTGCAGAGATCATGAGATCTTGGCTGCATGAGCTAAGATCATGCCACTGCACTCCAGCCAGGAAGACAGAGTAAGACTCTGTCTCAAAAAAAAAAAAAAAAAAAAAAAAAAAAGAACTGGATATGGCAGCACATATCTGTAATCCCAGCTACTAGGTAGGTTGAGGTAGGAGGATCACTGGTGGAGCCCAGGAGTTCAAATCCAGCCTGGGTAACATAGCAAGACTCCATCTCTTAAAAATTAATTAAATTAATAAAATAAAAAGAACTTTATTTTTTCTTTAAAGGAGGCTGCCTGTGACAGTCTTCTTGTTTCTGTTCATGATAGCAACATTCTAATATCAGAGGCTTAGTATACAACACATCATTTTAATTTAAGTCCTCTCAGTCCTGATCAGACTTTGAATCATGTTGGTCCTTCCTTCATATTGTTGGATCAGTTTCTTTTTCCCTGTTTTTACTGTCAACAGTACTATTTTAGATCCTTATCAGGTCATACCTAGACTCTACAGTGCCTTTTCGGTAGCCCTGAATCCTTCTTATATCTTGTATACATCACTGTCTTTGGTCATACCACCCTTTCTTTAAGGGAAAATAAAACCGGTTGAACAGTTCCCTAATACATACAACAATGATTCAGAAATGTTTGTGTACATAAACATCAGATGAGAAGATTGTTTAAAAATTATAAAAGCAGGACATGGTGGCTCACACCTGTAATCTCAGCACTTTGGGAGGCTGAGGCGGGAGGATTACTTGAGCCACAGAAATTCGAGACCAGCCTGGGCAGCATGGCAAAATCCTGTCTCTACAAAAAATACAAAAAAACAAAAACAAAAAACTAGCCGGGCATGGTGGCGCTTATCTGTAGTCCCAGCTACTCAGGAGGCTGAGGTGGGAGGATCACCTGAGCCTGGGGAGGTCAAGGCTACAGTGAGCTGTGACCGTGCCACTGCAGTCCAGCCTGAGTTAAGGGAAAAAAAAAAAAGATAAAAATTTCCAGGCCCCACTACATAGATCCATATTTAGTAGGTCCAGGTTGGGACCAGGAAACTGCATTTTTATCAAGCACCACAGTTGATTCTGACGCCAGTAGTCCACAGAACATATGCTGAGAAATGGTGAGCCCCTAGTAGAAAACCTAAGCCCTTTGGTTGGGCAGTTATGGTCTCTCCACAATTTGACTATTCTGTATTTTCCCAGCTTTATCTCTCAAAACTTCTCTACCTGAATCCTCCATTCTGGCTAGACTAGCTGTCTCTTCAACACATCTAGTTACCTGTTTCTTTTCCTTTTTGCCTTTCTCCATAAGGCCTGCCCAGTCCTCTTGCTGAGTCTGCATTCCTCCTTACCTGATTCAGCCACTGTATCTTCTATGTAGCTTTCACTGACTGCCCAGTTTGTGTTAATCTCTCTCTCTCTCTCCTTTGTCTTAATAACAGTATTTTCTCTGCATTTCCTTTGATAAGTGATTACTTTCTACCTCATATCTTCTATCTTGAAATATTTGTGTTGTTTTAAAATCATTTGACTTGTCATATTTTTATCTTATTTTCTCCCAACAAGATTAAAAATTCTGAGGTGAAGTTTTTTATTGATACATGATAATTTGTACATATTAATGGAGTATGTGTGATTTTTTTGGTTTTTTTTGTTTTTGTTTTTGTTGGAATCTCGCTCTATCGCCCAGGCTGGAGTGCAGTGGCACAATCTCAGCTCACTGCAAACTCCCCTCCCAGGTTCAAGCAATTCTCCTGCCTCAGCCTCCCAAGTAGCTGGGGCTACAGGTACGTGCCACCACGCCCAGCTAATTTTTGTATTTTTAGTAGAGACAGGGTTTCACCCTGTTGGCCAGGCTAGTCTTGACCTCCTGACCTCAGGTGATCTGCCCGTCTTGGCCTCCCAAAGTGCTGGGATTGCAGGCGTGAGCCACCATGCCCTGCCTGTATGTGTGATATTTTGATACATGCATATAATGTGTAATGATTAAATCAGGGTGATTAGGATATCCATTGCCTCAAAGAAAAGAAATTGTTTCGTCTAGCTGTTTTGAAATATACAATGTTATTATTAACTAGTCACCTTACTATGAATAGTAGAACTTGTTCCTTCTATCTAATTCTAACAATACATATATTATTTATTTTATTATTATTTTTTTAAGACAGTCTCACTGTTGCCCAGGCTGAAGTGCAGTGGTACAATCTCAGCTCGCTGCAGCCTCTGCCTCCCAGGTCCAAGTGATTCTCGTGCCTCAGCCTCCCAAGTAGCTGGGATTACAGACATGTACCACCATGCCTGGCTGATTTTTGTATTTTTAGTAGAGACAGCGTTTTGCCATGTTGGCCAGGCTGGTCTCGAACTCCTGGCCTTATGTAACCCACCTGCCTCAGCCTCCCAGAGTGCTGGGAATACAGGCGTGAGCCACTGTGCCCAGCCCTGATTATATTTTTATATCCATTAACCAACCTCTGAGGTAAAGATTTATTTTAACTTACTTAGTAGTATTATCACCAGAATCATCACATATGGAAAACTTTGGGCCTAAGTTAACATAGATTGTTTTGATTTGAAACTTTGGTACCATTACTTCAGGGCTTTTTCATGGTCCTCACTGTGGCTGCTCCCATTTATTAGTATTCTTTTGGTTTTAAGCAACATATGACCTAATATGGCTTAATCAAAAAATGGTATTTATTGGCTTATATAACTGAGCAGTCCTGGGATAAATTTGACCCCAGGAGAGGCTTTATCTCATACACAAATGATATGGCCAGGGTTCCAGTTTGTCTATTTCTCAGCTCCTTCTCTTCAGTCTTTTGGGAGGCTCTTCTTTTATATCCCAAAATATGAGCTAGCAACTCCTAGGGCTACGTATTCCCTTGTTTATAAACACCAGGAAAGAAATATCTCAAATCCCAACAATTTAAGCTAAACTACCTGAACTGGGCCTCTTTGGCCCTGGTTGTCCTGGTTTGAATAATGTGTTCATTGCTGAATCAGTCTGTGATCAAGGTGGGATAAATGGATTGGCTAAAACCATCTCACTCCAGAGCTCCAGATGGGTCATTCCTACCAGACTATTCGCCTGAGGAGTTTGGTGGGCCCTGCAGGCAACCAACTAATTCCCACTGTTTTCTTCCTTTCTTGACTCATGGGCAAATTTTTTATTGTTGTCGTGGCTCAAAATTTTTGAATTGGAGATTTGTCTCTTCTCTTAGCCTTATTTCTCAGTGTCCAAAAAACAACTGATTTAAAAAATGAATCCAGACTTTGAAGAATTGTTTTATATTATTCTCTCTAGAAAATGAATCATAAAATAAAATTGATTAGTGGCATCTGTATATTTATTTTAAACACTGCTAATAATCTTTGTCTTTTTTGTCATTTTCCTTAGGTTCAAAACTGGTCAAATCAATGGTGATTTGCTGATATACCATGTCTTACTGACTTTAAAGCCATATTATGCAAAGCCATATGAAATTGTAGTGGACCTTACCCATACCGGGCCTAGCAATCGCTTTAAAACAGACTTTCTCTCTAAGTGGTTTGTTGTTTTTCCTGGCTTTGCTTACGACAACGTCTCCGCAGTCTATATCTATAACTGTAACTCCTGGGTCAGGGAGTACACCAAGTATCATGAGCGGCTGCTGACTGGCCTCAAAGGTAGCAAAAGGCTTGTTTTCATAGACTGTCCTGGGAAACTGGCTGAGCACATAGAGCATGAACAACAGAAACTACCTGCTGCCACCTTGGCTTTAGAAGAGGACCTGAAGGTATTCCACAATGCTCTCAAGCTAGCTCACAAAGACACCAAAGTTTCTATTAAAGTAAGTTCCAGTCTGTGTTTTGCAAACGATTCATTGCTTTTCTTGACTAACTAGACTATATCCTGGCCTCCCTAGGTGTCCTACCCCTATAGTGGTGTATAAAATGTCACGTAAGGCTGTCGCGGTGGCTCACGCCTGTAATCCAAGCACTTTGGGATGTCAAGGTGGGCAGATCACGTGAGGTCAGGAGTTCAAGACCAGCCTGGCCAACACGGTGAAACCCCGTCTCTACTAAAAATACAAACATTAGCCGGGTATGGTGGTGGGCACCTGTAATCTCAGCTACTTGGAGGCTGAGGCAGGAGAATCGCTTGAACCCGGGAGGTGGAGGTTGCAGTGAGCCGAGATTGCGCCACTGCACTCCAGCCTGGGCAACAGAGGGACGCTCTGTCTCAAAAAATAAAAGGTTATGTAAATCTAGATGTAGGAAGACCAACATTTGTGTCATCATGGAGGTCCTGTGGAGGATATGAGACGTATACATTTTATTCTAGCTTAGGCTGGAAGTAGAAGAGTGTTTTGGAGAGGGCAATTTGTTATGTCATTCAAATTGTAGGAATGTGTGGAGAGTAGAAATTACCTAATGAGAGTTCTGATTATTACATGCTTTTTTCAGAGTGAGGAACATGAACCTTCAGGATAAAATCAGTACTTTTCTATAAGATTGTTTGTTTTGTTTTGTTTTGTTTTTTGATATGGAGTCTCACTCTGTTGCCTAGGCTGGAGTGCAGTGGCGTGATCTCAGAGTGCAGTGGCATGATCTTGGCTCACTGCAACCTCTGCCTCCCAGGTTCAAGCGATTCTCCTGCCTCAGCCTCCCCAGTAGCTGGGATTATAGGCGCCCACCGCCACGGCAGGCTAGTTTTTGTAGGTTTAGTAGAGACAAGGTTGTTGGCCAGGCTGATCACGAACTCCTGACCTCAAGTGATCTGCCCACCTCGGCCTCCCAAAGTGCTGGGATTACAGGGATGAGCCACTGCACCCGGCCTTCTATAAGATTCTTGACCTTTTTAAAAAGGAAAATTAAAAAATTTTTAAATGTTTTTTGTTTCTTTTGAGAACATTTATCATAATAATTACTGAACCATTTGAATATACAATGGTGGGAACTCTTCCTTAAATGGCATAGTGTTTTGTTTGGTTGGTTGGTTTCTGGAGCCTTTTAGAATTTTATGTAAAAGAGTTTAATTCTTCTCCACTTCACCCCGTCACCACCACTTTCCAGGTTGGTTCTACTGCTGTCCAAGTAACTTCAGCAGAGCGAACAAAAGTCCTAGGGCAATCAGTCTTTCTAAATGACATTTATTATGCTTCGGAAATTGAAGAAATCTGCCTAGTAGATGAGAACCAGTTCACCTTAACCATTGCAAACCAGGGCACGCCGCTCACCTTCATGCACCAGGAGTGTGAAGCCATTGTCCAGTCTATCATTCATATCCGGACCCGCTGGGAACTGTCACAGCCCGACTCTATCCCCCAACACACCAAGATTCGGCCAAAAGATGTCCCTGGGACACTGCTCAATATCGCATTACTTAATTTAGGCAGTTCTGACCCGAGTTTACGGTAGGTTTTTTAAAATTCACTTCAGTTTGATTTGGGGTTTGTTGCTTTTAAAATGAGACCATTTAATGAATTTTAAAACAGCCTCTACCTTAATATTGTAAATTGGAAGGTATGCAATGTTGGTTAACCACTGTGACCTCATCAAGTTGTGGGGTATTCACATGAACTGTGGAATTCCAAACAGGGTGATTCACACTAAACCAATATATGTCCTTTCTCCATCATGTAAAACAACACGACATAGCAGATTTTTTTTTCCAAAGTATCCTAAATTAAGTTTTTCTTCCTCTAAGTCCTCTAATTTTTTTCCATTTTCAGAAGTATATCACTATTTAGTTTAAAAGTCAAGTCAGATTATTGTTTTACAAAAGAAGGCCTAATGTTCAATAACTTGGTAACATTATTGCATACTTTCCACCTACATCACTCTTAACAAAATTCTCAAAATAAATCTTAAGACAAATAAGTCATCTGAGCAGAGTGTAATTGGTTCCATTTAGGCTTAATAACTTGAATATGCATGTGGAAAGAGCATGGCTGTGGAGTGAGTAGATGTGGTTTGAACAGATATGCCACTTTCTAGCTATGTACTTTGAGCAAGATACTGAAGTTTTCAGATATCTAGTTTCCTTATTTGTGAAATAAAGGTAATTGCCTTTCTTATATACCCACAAAAGCTTAAAAAATAGTATGTGTAGTAGTATAGTATAGCAAACTAGCAAATAGTTTATACTTAGTAAGTAGTATTTTCTTATCTTTTCCCTCCCTGCCAGCATCTCCTTGCACCCTTTCTCCCTTTTCTCCCCTCTCCTTACCAAGTTAGGATAATTCTTTGTCTCAAGTACCCTGAGACTTTGAAGATTTTTCAGATGTAAATTCTTAACTTCTGAAAATTTTCCCTGAGGATAACATAGCCCAGGTTTTATAGTGGGCCTTTTAGGATTCCAAATTCTCCTTTACTTAAAGGGAAAAAGAAGAAAATCAAGATATGTTTACTTGGATGGGCTTCAGAAATTGTACATAAGATTTTGTGTATGCTTTGCTTCCTTTATCTCATAGGTGTCTGTGACACCTGTCCTGGGTTGAGGAAGTCCAATTCTTTATAAGTGTTGAAATACACAGGATAAAAGTTTTGTCAAAATTGTATAACTTAGAATTCCTGGGAATTAGTAAAAGATACAAGCTGAGCACTGGCACTGTAGTCCCAGCTACTCGGGAGGCTGAGGCGGGAGGACAGCTTGAGCTCAGGAGTTCAAGGCTGCAGTGTGCTATAATCATGTCTGTGAATAGCCAATGCACACCAGCCTGGGGAACATAGTGAGACTCTGACTAAAAGTTTTTTAAAAAAGAAAAAAGATATGTAAACAGAAATAATAACACTAATTTTCACATTTTAGGAAAATGGAGCTATAAGCCTGCCTTTAATTTCTAATTCAAAGATCTTCATTGAAAAATACAACCTTTTAACAATTATTAGCCTGGGTAAACCTGTATTCTTCTCTAGTGACCTAAAGCAATCTCTGACAGCTTCTGCTTTTTGCTGAAGCATGTCATCCCAGAGAAAAAGCCTTTAGGCAGACTTAAATTCCAGTGGCTTTTTTTCCCTATATGGTTGTTGCATCAATATAGTAGCATGATAAACATTCAGAGGTAAGGAAAACCTGACAGTTACTGAACAAACTATTTCCTTTACTGGACAGGGGAGAAAATTAAAATTTTTAAATTGAGTCTGAGTCTTTTAGGCTGTCTCCTAAATTGCTTAAATATATTTTCAGACATTTGTAAGTGATGTTTGGTCTCAATGAAACCTGGATATTATAGTTTTTTTCCATATTGGTGGTTATATATGATGTAATGAGGTCATAGAGGGAAAAATGGGAGGACTTAATTATAAGTTAATTTTGTTTTTAACCTTCAGTTTGTAGGGTAACTTTTAGGACACCCAGAAAGAAGTTCAGCAGATCCTGATTAAAGATTTTCACATTCTAATTTGATGAAGGGAAGGGCCATCTGATATCTGTCCCTATGATCCCCATTATAACTGGATCTAGTGGGAAAGAGAACCAGAATTTGAGTTTTGGCTTTGCTAAAAATGTATGGTGTGCCTTATTCTGACTTAATTTCTATTGATCCACATTAGGACCATAAGTCCTCTCATATTTTATGTCTCAGTGAGATGTATTTTAGGAAAGCCTATACCCCGCCCCTCTGTCATAGGAGCCTCACAGTGCTCTTATGGTTATATCAAGTGTGTCCCTTTTTATAAAATCCCTAAATGATTAAGGGGTATTTTGGTTTTACTGTAGAATTATAACATCTTATTTCTAACTGATCATAAAATTTAAAAATAGTTGATCATACTTTGTAACAGAATCACAAATTGTATGTTATGAAAAAATTTTGGAACTATAAGGAAAAATACGTTTTAAAACAACTTCATTTGTGTTTTCTCCTAGGTCAGCTGCCTATAATCTTCTGTGTGCCTTAACTTGTACCTTTAATTTAAAAATCGAGGGCCAGTTACTAGAGACATCAGGTTTATGTATCCCTGCCAACAACACCCTCTTTATTGTCTCTATTAGTAAGACACTGGCAGCCAATGAGCCACACCTCACGTTAGAATTTTTGGAAGAGTGTATTTCTGGATTTAGCAAATCTAGTAAGTAATGATAATTTTCTTTAATACTAACAATTATTCTAAGAGAATTCAAAGAAAACCCTTTCATTTCAGAATTTTCCAGTGAAGACTTTCACTTACATTTTTACTTTTTTTCCTCTTCTGATTTTATATCTGTGGTATCCTGTAACTGAAGGAACTCTGAAGGAACTTTTTGGTAGGCCACATTGAGAAATCCACCAAAATTCTGATAATAAAAGCAAAGCGGCAAGAGTTTGGTACTTTACACACCTCTGGACCACTTACAAAGTATTTTCTTCACTGTTGCAGTTTAATTAGCTTCAGCATTTCTCTTCATAGCAGAAAAGTCCACATAAGTATCCATGTTGCCTCCTTAATTTTAGAGAACTAGTCATTTTCTCTTTTCTTTAGGTTGACTTTGAACAATGAATTTATTGTAAATGTACAGTTCACGGAGAGCACAGTGGCACATAATACAGGGCCCAGAGTCAGTTCTGACTTTGTTTTAACTAAGTCTTATAAATTTAATATCCACTCTTTATATTTGTCCATCTTTATATCCTATAGTTTTATAAATGTTGATCTTCTCCCAGCATATTTCCTGACCTTTTCTTCCCTTTCCTTTCCCTGTAATATATAAAACTTTTTTTTCTGCATTCAAACACATTTCTTGACTTTTATATATTAGATAATTAAAAGCTTCAGCAATTCACTAAGACTCTTTGTCAGGTAAGAGATGTAGGACTATAACCCTAACAAAAAAATGTGTAGGACTGACAAAACAAGAAAAGTATAAACTTTATTCATAAATATTAATATGAGAGAAGATTTGAGTGAATGTAAAGGCATATTGTGTTCCTGCATGAACAGTTCTTCCCAGATTATTACAAATTTAATGTAATTTCATCAAAATAACCATGGGATTTGAGGATTGAGAATGGAGATAGAACTTAAATGATTCTAAATTCTACATAAAAGTGCAATAATAGCTAAGAAAATATTGAAAGGAAAGAGACTTGAGACTTAATAGTACAGATGTCTGAACACTTTATAGCAGTACAATAATTAAAACATACATGTGCAAGAATCAGCCATCAGATCAGTTTAAGAGAAACAGATTGATAAAGAAGCATCACAAACTGATGAGGGAGAGATTAAATCATTTAATAAATGAGGCTGGGAAATGACTTAAATTAGGTCTTCGTCTTCACCGTACACCATAAGATACCAAGTATGTTCTGCCTGTATTTAAGAGTTGAGTAGGGCTGTGTGTGGTGGCTCTCGCCTGTAATCCCAGCACTTTGGGAGGTTGAGGCAAGAGGATTGTGGCAGGAGGATTGCTTGAGCCCCAGAGGTCAGGGCTATAGTGAGCTATCATCGTACCACTGCACTCCAGCCTGGATGATAGAGTGAGACCCTTCTCTATTTAAAAAAAAAAAAAAAAAAAAAAAAAAAAAAAAAAAAGTTGTATATAAAAGCTTGGAACCATTTTAAAAAGAAGAGGAACAAGTGAATATTTAATTGCTTTCTAGATGAGTAAGGACATATGAAGTAAAAAAGTGATAGGATGAAACAAAGGAAATAGCGAACAGATTTGACTACATAAAACTTCAAAACATAGCTACTCAAAAATAAACACAAGTGAAGATAATTAAAAACTAGGAAATACACTTGGAGCAAATATGAGAAATGATTAATATCCTTAATCGGCCAGACGCGGTGGCTCACGCCTGTAATCCCAGCACTTTGGGAGGCTGAGGTGGGTGGATCACAAGGTAAGGAGTTCGAGACCAGCCTGGCCAATATGGTGAAATCCCCTCTCTACTAAAAATACAAAAATTAGCCGGGCTCGGTGGTACATGCCTGTAGTCCCAGCTACTCAGGAGGCTGAGGCAGGAGAATTGCTTGAACCCAGGAGGCAGAGGTTGCAGTGAGCCGAGATCACTCCACTGCACTCCAGCCTGGGCAACAGAGGGAGACTCTGTCTCAAAATAAATAAATGAATGAATAAATGAATGAATGAATGAATAAAATCCTTAATCATGAAGGGTGCTGACCGATTAATAAAAAGTGGATTAACAGTAACATACAGATCATGTTTTTAAAAAAGAATATTTGTACAAAAAAAGAAAAAAGCCAGGCACCATGGCACATGCCTGTAATCCCACCTGCTCAGGAGGATCGCTAAGCCCAGGAGTTTGAGACCAGCCTGGACAACATAGTGAGGCCCCCATCTCAAAAAGAATATTTATATTTTAAGAAATTCACTAATAAAAGCCAATTGAAAGAATAGTGAGATAATCAGTTATCAGCTTGGCAAAGATTTTTTTTTTAAGATCCATTCCTGGTGGTCTGTGGAATTGTGAGTAGAGGCAATTTTTCTAGAAAGGCATTTGGAAGTGGATAACAAGACCTTAAGACTATTCATACCTTTTGGCCTCATAATTCTGCTTTTTAGCATTTATCCTAAAGAATTAATGTTAAAATGTTTATTATAGCATTATTTTTATGTAGATTTTTAAATTGAGGTATATCTTGTCATCAGTAAAGTGCAAGATCTTAAGTCAACAGCTTGATGAACTTCTACATGCAAATACATCATGAAAGTATCTCCAGATCTAGACATAGAACATTTCTAGCATCCAGAGGGATATTCTCAGTACCCTCCCTTCACCAAGAGTAAACACTATTATGACCTCTATTGCACAGATTTATTTTGCCTACTTTAGAACTTCATATGACATTATTTATAATAGCAAAAAAATGAACAGGCCAAAAGTCAAAGAATAAGGAACTGATTAAATTATTGGTTCTCCATCTGATGGAATAATATGAAGCCATTGAAAAATGGCTTTGTTACAGAATTTCAGTTTGGAAGATGAAAAGGTTCTAGAGATGGATGGTGGTGATGGCTGCACAATGATTTGAATGTACTCAGTGCCACTGAACTGTGCCCTTCAAAATGGGTAAAGCCACGGAACTGTACATTTAAAAATAGTTAAAATGGTAAATTTTGTGTTGTGTATATTTTACCACAATTTTAAAAACTCTTTGAGACTTTAGGTAAAGTGTATAGATAAATTTTTGTACAATTTTTGTCTTATAAATGTGAAGCTTTTTCAAGTAAGTTTAAAAGAAGTTTGCAGAATTTGTAATGTTGAATAAATAATCTCAGTATAGGCCAGGGGTGGTGGCTCACGCCTGTAATCCCAGCACTTTGGGAGGCCGAGGCGGGCAGATCACGAGGTCAGGAGATTGAGACCATCCTGGCTAACACAGTGAAACCCCGTCTCTACTCAAAATATGAAAAAAAATTTGCCGGGCGTGGTGGTGGGCGCCTGTAGTCCCAGCTACTCGGGAGGCTGAGGCAGGAGAATGGTGTGAACCCGGGAGGCGGAACTTGCAGTGAGCCGAGATCGCTCCTCTGCACTCCAGCCTGGGCGACAGAGGAGACTCCATCTCAAAAAAAAAAAAAATGAATAATCTCATTATAATCACTGAAAAAAATATTCAGAGCCTACTGCATGTATAGCATAATCCCCGTTTTTGCGGGGGAGTGGGAGTGGGTTATACCTGTGTACACACACATAAATGTACATTAACTCTACATAAATTTGAAAGCCTGAGGAGAGATGAGATGATACACCAATGTTAATACAGTTTTCATTTTGTGGTGATGCTTTCCTTTTACCAAACTTTCTATGATTACCACATTTCCTTTTATAATGAGAATAAAACAACTTTTTAACAAGAAAGGACTAAAATGGAGGAAAATAAGACAAAACTTTTCAAAAATTGGCTTACTGGCTTTTAAAATTACTTTCTTCAAGGACTGTTCTTTCTTCGCCTCTACAAAAATATATTTGCCAAGTGTCTTTTCTCCAGGCCTGATTCTAGGTAATAGTCTTTACCTTTTACCATTTTTTCCCCGAATTCTTTATGTTAAATAATTGTTGATGTGATTTTCATTGACCATCACATGCTAATAGTGTATTTTTTTCCAGGTATTGAATTGAAACACCTTTGTTTGGAATACATGACTCCATGGCTGTCAAATCTAGTTCGTTTTTGCAAGCATAATGATGATGCCAAACGACAAAGAGTTACTGCTATTCTTGACAAGCTGATAACAATGACCATCAATGAAAAACAGATGTACCCATCTATTCAAGCAAAAATATGGGGAAGCCTTGGGCAGGTATTGAGTTTGCTCAAATATTTATCTAGTATCTCCTTTGTGCACATATTTATCTGGTGCCACATTGGGCAAAGCACTGCGCTAGACACTAGGGATAGAGTTGTAAAAAACACAGTTTCCTCCTTCAGAAAGCATGTAGACACTCACCCAGCTCTTCATCTGGTTCAAAATTGTAAATGTCTAGTGCATGTCTCAGAGCCAGAGAAAAGCTAGTTATTTGCACAGTCTCCTTCAAGGCATAATTATATACATATATATATATATATATATATATATATATATATATATATATATATATGTATATAATTATATAGGATTATATGTAGGATTATATTTATAATATAAATATATATTTGCCTTGAAGGAGACTGTGCAAATAACTAGATTTTATATATATATTATATAGAACTGTAGAAATCTGGTGACATTTCTAGTGCTTTATTCTAGTTCTCTACATTCCAAAGGTGTCAGTAGATGTTTCTTCTTATTGATGCTATTTGGGACATCTGCTTTCATTTATAGTTCTACATAAGAATGCCAATATTAAAATAGGATATAATGTAAATTTTATTTTTATCTGACAAGAATTAGGCATATCATTTCTTCAAAGTAATCATTTAAGGAAATAATGCCCTCACTCAAACACTGCTGCTCCTCCTCCAAATAATTAGAAATAACCTTGGAGCCAGTGTTGCAGCCCTAGAAAACATCCTGGTACTTAATGTCATTTCCTATATTTTATTTTTTTTTGAGACTGAGTCTCGCTCTGTCACCCAGGCTGGAGTGCAGTGGTACAGTCTCGGCTCATTGCAACCTCTGCCTCCCAGGCTCAAGTGACCCTTCCACCTCAGCCTCCCAAGTAGCTGGGCCTACAGGTGCACACCAACACACCTGGCTAATTTTTGTATTTTTTTTTTTTTTTTTTTTTTTAGAGATAGGGTTTTGCCATGTTGCCCAGGCTGGTCTTGAACTCCTGGCCTCAAGCAATCCGCCCGCCTCAGCCTCCCCAAGTGCTGGGATTACAAGCGTGAGCCACTGCACCCAGCTCTGTATTTTCAAATTACTATTTTATATTGATGCTACATTACTGTCTTAGAAAAGCATAGAGATACTTTGCAAGTGACTGAAGATAGTATTGATAGAGATTTAAAATTTTTGAATACCAATCTCTTAATCTCTGAAGGAGTCAAATGAATATACTCATCCTTTCCTGGATATTTTATAATAAATTGTATTTACTGACAGGCCTGTAAATAAAATCTAGTATTTTTGAGGCCTCAGGTAAAATAGAATTTTCATATTGATTAGGCTGTTCCAATGAATATTTTTTAATTAAAAATTAAATTGGTAGAGTGATTAAAAACATGTTATTTTCCTTCTTCAACTAGATTACAGATCTGCTTGATGTTGTACTAGACAGTTTCATCAAAACCAGTGCAACAGGTGGCTTGGGATCAATAAAAGCTGAGGTGATGGCAGATACTGCTGTAGCTTTGGCTTCTGGAAATGTGAAATTGGTTTCAAGCAAGGTAATCACTTTTCTTTTGCCTTCTGTACTATAGCATATCTGTTTTATCATCAGGAGGTTTTTTGTTTTGTAATTACTTTTAAATTAAACTGAACTTTTTTGTGCTAAAACTTTGAGTCCCATGTTTTTTTTTAAAAAAAAAAAAATCCTGCTTCTTTACAGGTTATTGGAAGGATGTGCAAAATAATTGACAAGACATGCTTATCTCCAACTCCTACTTTAGAACAACATCTTATGTGGGATGATATTGCTATTTTAGCACGCTACATGCTGATGCTGTCCTTCAACAATTCCCTTGATGTGGCAGCTCATCTTCCCTACCTCTTCCACGTTGTTACTTTCTTAGTAGCCACAGGTCCGCTCTCCCTTAGAGCTTCCACACATGGACTGGTCATTAATATCATTCACTCTCTGTGTACTTGTTCACAGCTTCATTTTAGTGGTAAGTTCTAGGAAAGGAATTTGTGTTTACCAGTTCCTTTCTCCATTTTACTTCACCTGATCAATATAGATTATCTTATTTATGTTTGTGCTCTAACACCAAGTTGCTAATTTAAGCCTCCAGTAATGACATGAAATATTACCAAAAAGAAAATAAATTACTTCCATTCCATATCAAGCTATAGTAAAGATTTTCTATGCATACTTGTCATGTAGAGTTATCCCATAAGCGGAATACTCAGTGCCAGTTGACCATGTTCAGTTACCAGCACTAATTTGTAGATAAATGAAGCAAGGAGCATTAATACAATGTATCTAGAGGTTTGATTTAGGGAACATGATTATGTAATTTTTATATGGTATTCAAATTTTCTAAATTCAAAATGAAACATGGAACTTTAGAAATTAAAAAGTAATATTTTCTGTCTTTACTTGTTCCTTTATTCTCTTACAGAAGAGACCAAGCAAGTTTTGAGACTCAGTCTGACAGAGTTCTCATTACCCAAATTTTACTTGCTGTTTGGCATTAGCAAAGTCAAGTCAGCTGCTGTCATTGCCTTCCGTTCCAGTTACCGGGACAGGTCATTCTCTCCTGGCTCCTATGAGAGAGAGACTTTTGCTTTGACATCCTTGGAAACAGTCACAGAAGCTTTGTTGGAGATCATGGAGGTATAGAAGCCAAAATGATAAGAAACTAAGTTAAAATCTTTTTTTAAAAATATGTTAATACTATATAGAAGAAATATTGGTTTATTGTGCTATTTTGTACTTAATGCTTAAATAAAAACACTTGCATGGACTGTGTTATTGGTAACAGGTCACTTAATGACATCATAATAAACATTATTTAAACAGTTCTAAAAACATTTATGTACAATATGTATTCAGAGTATCCCCTTTTTTAGGCATGCATGAGAGATATTCCAACGTGCAAGTGGCTGGACCAGTGGACAGAACTAGCTCAAAGGTATGTCCTAAATTAAATATAAGTTGTAAAAATATGCATATTGTTGAAAATACAGCTATTACTGTATGATCAATGTTATAATTTATTATTTAGTATATATAAACACAAAGGTTTTTATAAGTTCTGTGGATCTTTTAATTGCAGATTTGCATTCCAATATAATCCATCCCTGCAACCAAGAGCTCTTGTTGTCTTTGGGTGTATTAGCAAACGAGTGTCTCATGGGCAGATAAAGCAGATAATCCGTATTCTTAGCAAGGTACCTGTTCCGCCCTCACTTCTCCCAAATATTTATGGTTCTCAAGTTGTAAAGCATATCTTTCATTTTTCTAAAAGACGTTTAAATTTGAGGTCAATGAAATATCTTATATGTTACTTATTAAGCCTTTAAAATGTATTTTGATTATTTATTGTAATTCTTTGAAGAAGTCTTCTCTAAAGAAGCTGTCTTTATATGTAAACTCTGATTACTTCATTAAGGAAGATGTCTTTAAAATAAAATATGTTGCCTCTTTTGCTAAGCAGGTACACTTAGTATTTTACCAGTTTTCAAAGCATTTAATTATATGGTAAGACTATAGCCTTGCATAAAATTATTTAATTTGTAATTACTATAATAATGTCTGACTCTTATAATGTAGAAATGTCAAAAAATAAGAAAACAAATGTACATTAAGCTAGCTACCAAGATCACCATAGCATGAGAAATCATTCTAGCATTTATTAAATAAGTAAATGTTCCTGAATTCATTCCGAGATTCAGTTTAGGAGTTAATGTTTTATTTCAATGAAAGTAAAATAAAAAATTCTGTTTTCCTAAAAGGCACTTGAGAGTTGCTTAAAAGGACCTGACACTTACAACAGTCAAGTTCTGATAGAAGCTACAGTAATAGCACTAACCAAATTACAGCCACTTCTTAATAAGGTAATTACTGTATAGAAAATGAGTGCATTCATTTTGGGTATCAGTGTTGAATGTTACTTTCTTTCAAAGAGTTTAGAAAATAAGATGAATTGAGAATAAGTTATAAAGAAAAAACTATAGTTAAAGTAGAACCTCTTAAAGTTTAGTTGTTTGAAGTAGTCATATTAGAAGAAGAGTAAGTATGGATAGTATGTTCTCAAGCGCTTGTAAGTTTTTGGTCTCATCAGTGCTAAAGGAAAGATAGGTATATATTCTTAATTATTTTATCTTATAACTATTAATTATCTGCTATTGCCAAGTACTGTTTTAGGCGCTAGAGATAGAGTACTAACAAAGCCCATAAAACTCACTGCCTTCATGGAGCTTACTTTCTGGGGTGGGTGTGGAGGTTGGGGAGTGAATGGATAATGAAGTAAACAAAATACGTAGTATGTTAGTGATTATTACTATGGAGAAATTAAAGCTGGGAGAAGTATACTTGATCGTCATAAGAGTTTGGGTGCCAAATGAAGATTATATTTAAAAGGAGTAAAATGAAGTGGCCACTGTTTTAGGATGGTCTGACCTTATCCCATTTTTATATTTAAGATATCTGGAAATCATGTTTTTGTATTAATAAAATGAAAAAGATTCGATAATGGCATGGTATTACCATCCAGTTCTAAAGTGGTTTAATTCTGTGATTTGAGTACAAAGGTATGCCAGACTTGGGAGAGATAACAGAGAAATAATACCTGTTATATTCCTGGTTTGTCTACAAGCATCCTAATTTTGTATTATACAAAATGGTTCTCTGGTCCCCATCTTCTAAGTGAAAATGAGCTCAGAAGGGCTAAATAACTTGCCCAAAGTCACATACCTAATAAAAGAACCATGATTCTAATGTGATACTATTTGACTCTAAAGTCCATGTATTTTCCCTAATATCACAGTGCTAAGTAAAGATTGCCAGTAATAAATACTTTTAATTCAGAGCAGCAAGAGATTACCATACTGGTTAAGAGTGACAAGAAGTTGAAAAGACAGTTTAAAATAAAGTTAAAGGGAAACATAGGAGTTAATGTAGGTAGAGAGAAAGGGAGAGAGCTGCACAAGAATGCCAGGACAATGGAGGGAAGGTGGGTAGAACATTCTAGTTGTAATGGAGAAGCTTTTCAAAGGAATCGAGAGAGGGAAAGTTGTGAGGACTGGATAGACCTCATCTCACATTCAGCATTGTTCAAAAGAGTTTGGAAATGTACAGTTTTTAAGCAGACAAGTCATACGATGAAAGCAGGACTTAGCTCCTGGTGGTAGTGTGCACAGTGGATTGGAGTAGGGAGAAACTGAAGTAAAAAGAATCCACCTTTATAATAAAGAAGGTTGGCATGTGGTAATGTCATTAGCAATAAGAAAGAAATGACAAAAGATACAAAAGAGACTACTCTAGAAGAATCAACAAACCTTGGTGACTGGATTTAGAAATCAAAGAACAGGGAGAAGTCAAAGGAGGTGCTAAGTAACGTTCTCAGTCCAGCTAACAGTGTCTTTAGTTATACATATGGAAAAGTGAAGAGCTTACTCATATCTTTATCTTCCCCAAAAGAGAAAACATGGGTAATTTAGGAAGATAAGCTGCTTTATTTTTAACTGCAGTGTGTTTTGAAAGAGACTATGTCATGATTCATCTTACTAGCCTCAAACATATCTTCTTTGCCAGGACTCGCCTCTGCACAAAGCCCTCTTTTGGGTAGCTGTGGCTGTGCTGCAGCTTGATGAGGTCAACTTGTATTCAGCAGGTACCGCACTTCTTGAACAAAACCTGCATACTTTAGATAGTCTCCGTATATTCAATGACAAGGTAAGCAAACTTTGCCTTGAGGTTCCTAGATTACTCAAATTTAGTACTCTTCCATCTTTTCTTGTTGCTATTCTTTTAAAATCACAAGAAGTCCATAACTTAAGTAGGAATTTGTATAATGTAACTTATTGTGAGTATATTTCCTTACCAGCTCATAAAGAACTATGTAAACTTGAATGCATATTTTTTACATAAAAATAGCAAAAAAAAAAAAACAAAAAAAAAACAGTACTGGCCTAATACTAGTAGAATTACAGAATAAGGATAAATAATACATGATCATCCTTACAGAATGAGCATAAACAATACATGGTAATAATATTAATAGCTACCATGCCAGGCCGTATGCTAAACACTATACATTTATTTTTAATTTTCATAACCTTAAGGTAAAGGTTAGCATTCTCTGCCCCCCATTTCACACGTGAAGAAATAATCTAAAAGTAATCTTAGTTTTACTTAATAATGCCACTTAATGAAAAATACGTATAATTCATAGTAGATAAGGAAGTTGGAGAGTCTAAAGGAAACTTTTGGGTACTTAATTTTACTAGTTTTTTTATTCTGTCTAATCTTACTTTAAAATATACCATTAGTGGCCAGGAGTGGTGGCTCATACCTGTAGTCCCAGCACTTTGGGAGGCCAAGACAGGTGGATCAGTTGAGCTCAGGAGTTAGAGAACAGCCTGGGCAACTTGCAAAACCCCATCTCTACAAAAAAGGCAAAAATTAGCTAGGCATGGTGGCATGCACCTACAATCCCAGCTACTCGGGAGGTGAGGTAGGAGGATTGCTTGAGCCTGGGAGGCAGAGGTTGCAGTGAGCTGAGATCACGCCACTGCACTCCAGCTTGGGCAACAGAGCAAGACCCTGTCTCCAAAAAAAAGTGTGTATACATATATTACATACACACATATATATGTAATGTATGTGTATATATATATATAAAGTGTGTGTGTGTGTGTGTGTGTGTGTGTGTGTGTGTATGTACACACATAAAATATGTAAAATCCAACTCCAATTAAGGTTAATAAATGTTAGGAGGGGTGCTAATGGGGTGTGTGTGTGTGTGTGCACGTGTGCATGTGTGTGTGTATATATATATGAACATGGGCAAATTACTTCTTAGTTCCTTTCTAATTTGTAAAATGGAGATCTGATTGGGGTTGGATTTTAGTTCATAGAGAATAGAGGAGAGAATAAAATAGTATGAAATTACGTCCCTTTTGTCTTTGGATAAAAATGGGAAGGGTCTAGGAGAAAAGAGGGGAATGTTTTTAAAAGAATGTGTATATACAGTGAGATTTGCTTGAAGTGAAATTAACTGAACTGTGGGTACAAAGAACAGGATTATGGTTTTAAGTGTAAAAAGATACTTGGTCTAAACATTATTAGTTCAGTCTACCAGATGTAGTGTGAACCTGGAACAGATATGGGTCTGAAAAATATAGAAGCAAAATTTTAGAGGTAAGAGGTCTTATGGAGTTTATTAATCAGACCTCCATTTTGCAAATTAGAAAGGAACTAAGAAGTTAAGTAACTTGCCCATGCTTGTACATCTGTTTTGGGACTAGAACCCCTCTGTCCTAATTCTCATTGCCGTTTTTCTAAAACTGTTTTGGGACAGTGGTGGTCAGCGATATCTAGTTGTTGGCTATTTATATGTTAAGAATATTTGCAAATTGGCCGGGTGCAATGGCGCATGTTTGTAATTCCAGCACTCTGGGAGGCCGAGTTGGGAGGATCACTTGAGGTTAGGAGTTCGAGACCAGCCTGGCCAACATGGTGACACCCTGTCTCTACTAAAAATACAAAAATTAGCCAGGGTGGCACATGTTTGTAACTCCAGCGACCTGGGAGGCTGAGGTGGGAAGATCTCTTGAACCCAGGAGGTTGCAGTGAGCCAAGGTGGTGCCACTGCACTCCAGCCTGGGCGACAGAGTAAGACTCCATCTCAAAAAAAGAATATTTGCAAATGGAGCATTGCAAATGGGGCATCTGCCTCGGTATTTTCATCTTCAAAACAGCCCAGTAGCGGGAGCTAATATTGATTCTAGTGCCCTTTGGATGCTAGGCATCAGAGTTAATAAGCATGTTAAAAGTCACCGGGATGTAAATTGACAGTCATTTATTTTGTATTGTAAATAAAAGTGATTTCATCTTCCACCATCTTCTTATTTATATGCTTGACTGTCTTGCACCAGTTAATTTGTAGTAGCTAAAATGTTCTGTGGTTTTCTGCAGTCAACTGAAAATAATTTCTCTCAAATTGAAAGGATTACTTATCTTGTCATACTATTGAACACAAAATTAAGTGAGCCTTTAAAGAAAGCTACTGTGTGAACCTCATCAACCATCTCATGATTATCTTTAATAGAGTCCAGAGGAAGTATTTATGGCAATCCGGAATCCTCTGGAGTGGCACTGCAAGCAAATGGATCATTTTGTTGGACTCAATTTCAACTCTAACTTTAACTTTGCATTGGTTGGACACCTTTTAAAAGGTAAAAAAGCCTTATTTAGAATATTTTTATGAAGTAGTATTAAGAAACCAGAAGTAATTTGAATAAGTGATTACTTGAAATAAATTGAAGTAAGTTAGCCCTTATGTCTTACTTTAAATGCAAACTAGGCCAGGCGTGGTGGCTCACGTCTGTAATACCAACATTTTGGGAGGCTGAGGCAGGAGGATCACTTGAGGCTAGGAGTTTGAGGCCAGCCTGGGCAACATAGTGAGACTTCATCTCTACAGAAAATTTAAAAATTAGCCAGGCATGGTGGCACGTGCTTGTAGTCCCAGCTACTTAGGAGGCATAGATGGAAGGATTGCTTGAGCCTGGGAAGTCGAGGCTACAGTGAGCCGTGATCACACCACTGCACTCAGCCCTAGGTAACAGAGTGAGACTTTGTCTCAAAAAATAAATAAATAAATGCAAACTATATCTGTCTTAATGAGTTGTGTTTTATTCAATATGTGTTTTAAGAGAGCTTCATTTCCAATTCAAATATCAAATTTGCCTGAAAAACAAAAGAGTTTATTCTGGCTGGGTATGGTGGCTCACACCTGTAGTCCCAGCACTCTGGGAGGCCAAAGCAGAAGGATCTCTTGAGCTTAGGAGTTCGAGACCAGCCTGGGCAATATGGTGAAACCCCCTTTCTACAAAAAATAAAAACATTAGCCAGGTGCGGTGGCACATGCCTATAGTGCCAGCTACTTGGGATGCTGAGGAAGGAGAATCACTTGAGCCCAGGAGGTCAAGGCTGCAGTGGGCCATGATCGTGCCACTGCACTCCAGCCTGGGTGACAGAGTGAGACCCTGCCTTTAAAAAAAAAAAAAAAAAAGTGTTGATTCTTACAAAAACCTACATACTGAGTCTGATAATAGCTATATTAATAGTAACAATACCTAAGTATCTTACTGATTTTCAAAATGAAACAGACTGCAAATCACTAAGTGTTATTTGAATAATTTATATTAGAAAATGTTAAGAGATTTGATCACAGATTTTCTTCAACTTGTTTATAGTTTATTGTTGATTAATACTATTATTTTATACCATTGTACATCACCTTTCTGGCACCCTATTCTCACCCCTTTCTATATTGCTTATAGCCAGTGATCTCCAGCTATTCCTCAGAGCCCGCTCATTCACTTCCTAACCTGGTTTTACTCCCCATTGCTGACTTCACAGCTTGTTAACTTTGGTTCATTAACATGGGGCAGTCATGGCCAGAGACTGCAGTTAATAAGAACAGCATGTAGTGGTGGGTCAGAAGCAAAGCAGGATAAAGTAAGACCTGGGATAAGGAGCTGGCATGAACCCCAGTGGTCTCAGAAGTGGATTTGGCCACAATAGAGATTCAAGCTATAGCTTGAGTCAACAATTTTGTATTAATTTAAATCATAGGCTTGAGGGACCATGGAGATTCTCCCAGTTTTTATGAGAGAGAGAGAGATATGCATACACCCACTATTGTGAATGTATGCATTTGATTTCACTTTCTTATGAAATTTCTACAAAAAATATTGACAGTGTTAATCTCTAAGGTCAATGGGGATTTCTCAAAAAATACTACCTTACTAAAGGATACCAAGATAAGTAATTGTAACTGGGCTAATAAAGTGCTTAATTATTCTTTATATCTAAAAGAATACCAGGCTGGGTGCAGCGGCTCATGCCTGTAATCCCAACACTTTGGGAGGCTGAGGCAGGTGGATTGCTTGAGGCCAAGAGTTCAAGACCAGCCTGGCCAACATGGTGAAACCCCTGCTTGAAGGCAGGAGTTCAAGACCAGCCTGGCCAACACGGTGAAACCCCATCTCTACTAAAAATACAAAAATTAGGCAGGTGAGGTGGTGCAAACCTGTAGTTTCAGCCACTCAGGAGGCTGAGGCACAAGAATCGCTTGAACCTGGGAGGCAGAGGTTGCAGTGAGCCAAGATCCTACCACTGCACTCCAGCCTTTGTGACAGAGTGACACTCTGTCTTAAAAGACAAGAAAAGAAAAGAAGACCAGATACTTTCCATGTTCAAATCACCTATTTTTAAATGGGGGAAGGATTAATGATTAAAAGCTGGCCAAAGATCAAATTTATCCTCTAATCAACCCTATTTATTGGGCTCTTAGAGCATATACTTCCTATGTCATCAGCTTTTCTTTTAATTAAAAATGTTTTTGTATTCCGCCTGCGACTCGGTCCCGGCGCTGGGCTGAGGGGAGGGGTTGTCTTAAAAGTCTCTCCTTCCCCCTGTAGGGGCGGCCGGCGAGTCCCAGTGAGAGCGGAGGGTGCCAGAGGTAGGGGGCCGAGAAACAAAGTTCCCGGGGCTCCCTCCGGGGCCGCGGTCGGGGCTGCGCGTTTGACCGCCCCCCTCCTCGCGAAGGCAATGGCTTCCAAACTCCTGCGCGCGGTCATCCTCGGGCCGCCCGGCTCGGGCAAGGGCACCGTGTGCCAGAGGATCGCCCAGAACTTTGGTCTCCAGCATCTCTCCAGCGGCCACTTCTTGCGGGAGAACATCAAGGCCAGCACCGAAGTTGGTGAGATGGCAAAGCAGTATATAGAGAAAAGTCTTTTGGTTCCAGACCATGTGATCACACGCCTAATGATGTCTGAGTTGGAGAATAGGCGTGGCCAGCACTGGCTCCTTGATGGTTTTCCTAGGACATTAGGACAAGCCGAAGCCCTGGACAAAATCTGTGAAGTGGATCTAGTGATCAGTTTGAATATTCCATTTGAAACACTTAAAGATCGTCTCAGCCGCCGTTGGATTCACCCTCCTAGCGGAAGGGTATATAACCTGGACTTCAATCCACCTCATGTACATGGTATTGATGACGTCACTGGTGAACCATTAGTCCAGCAGGAGGATGATAAACCCGAAGCAGTTGCTGCCAGGCTAAGACAGTACAAAGACGTGGCAAAGCCAGTCATTGAATTATACAAGAGCCGAGGAGTGCTCCACCAATTTTCCGGAACGGAGACGAACAAAATCTGGCCCTACGTTTACACACTTTTCTCAAACAAGATCACACCTATTCAGTCCAAAGAAGCATATTGACCCTGCCCAAAGGAAGAACCAGGAAGATGTGGTCATTCATTCAGTAGTGTGTGTAGTATTGGTGCTGTGTCCAAATTAGAAGCTAGCTGAGGTAGCTTGCAGCATCTTTTCTAGTTGAAATGGTGAACTGATAGGAAAACAAATGAGTAGAAAGAGTTCATGAGGAGGCCCTCCTCTGCCTTTCAAAAGGGTGGTCACCTACACATGTTTAAGGTGTCTCTGCACATGTCTCAAGCCCATCACAAGAAAGCAAGTACAGTGTGGATTTCAAATGGTGTGTAACTTCAGCTCCAGCTGGTTTTTGACAGCTGTTGCTGTGGTAATATTTTTTACATGTGATGGTGATAGTCTCTGGTTCTCCCCATCCCCACAAAGGCTGTTGAACCACAGCACCAGGAAGCCTGAGAATGAATCCTGAGGGCTCTAGCCCAGGCTTTGTCCCAGGCTTTCTGGTGTGTGCCCTCCTGGTAACAGTGAAATTGAAGCTACTTACTCATAGTGGTTGTTTCTCTAGTCTTGAGTGACTGTGTCCACAGTTCATTTTTTTCCGGTAGGAATAACTCCTTTTCTACATCCACACTCCATAGAGTCTCTCCTTTTCAGACATCCTGGGATGAAAGAATTTGGCTTTTTTTTTTTTTTTTTTTTTTACATCTGTTTTCACTCTTAGGCTTTTAAACAATAGTTATTGCTCTTATCCCTCTCAGATTCTAATAACTGAGAGCGATGGGGCTATATTGAATCTCTGTATGCACTGATAACTGAGCTATGAAGAGGATCTTATTAAACTGCTGGTCTGACTCTATGGATTGACACTGTTCCTTTCTTTTATTGTGAAAAAAAAAACCCCTGAAAGTCTTGGGAACCCCCTAAAGTCTTTTGGGAATCCTCAAAAAGCATGGGAAGTTAAGTATTTAGCTACATAAATGTTGTAAGATCATATCTTATGTATAGAAGTAATAAGACCATTTGGAATTACTGGACTAATTGAATAGTTAAGGTTTCTATTCGGGACAATAAAATGTATTTTGAAAGTGCTGCTAACTATTGATGCTGACAGTGTTTCACTCCTATGAGTGACCCAAACATATTATAAATATGTGGTAAAGGGAATGGAGCCTGTGGGGTTGAGCAGAATGTTGTACTAGCTGTGCCTGGACTGAGTATAACAGCTTTATGATTATGAGAAAACAAATTCTTTATTTTTTTTTCTGTTCCAAAGATTCATCCTATGGGGTGGCCATAAAGTCTAGAATTAGATACTAATATTTTGTCATTCATTATAACATATCGATAAACCATTTGTTAAAAGATTTGCCTGGTTTCCAGACTTGGTGGCCACCTTGAATAATTCTTGCTGTCTTCTGGGAAGGATGATGAAATTTATTCCTGCTGCCTTAAAAATATGTATCCCTTCTTCACCCATCATGACTGTCCCCAGTGAGTGTCCTTTACTATTCTTGGGAGTGACTCCTGTCTAACTTTTCATACTGGCGAGAAGAAAAGAAGCCTATTTTAACACTTTAGTGGTGTTGAAACACATTACTTACTTTCTGAAGATGTCCCAGTGAATCCTCTGTCAATTCACTGCCATATGTAATCTATATGATAAGGAATGCATCTTCCTTCTAAGTACTGCCCAAACCCTTGCCAGCTCCTCTCCCATTGTCCCTTCATGTGAATATTTCTTGGCTACCTTAGTGGAAATATAGATCAGTCTTCTCCCCATCCATCCTCTCAAACATAATGAGATTGTTTACTTTTTAGATTTATGCAGTGAAAATGCCCAGTCAGGTCTGAATCGTCAGTGCATTATATTGACTCTGAGCACTTTAGAATTTAGAGTTGCAATTGAATGCCAGCTGTGGAGATGGGGTGCATATCAGATATATAAATAAAGCTCAGGTTTGCTAGGGAACCAGGTATAGAGAAAAATAAGTCTGATATGAGGAAAATTGCACAATTTAGAGTAGTTATGCCATAGAGAAAATTTCCACAAACTAGGAAATGTAGAGAGTTATTCTATAGAATACTCAAAAGAGGAAAGTATGTGATTTTTGGAAACAGGAAAATCTTCAAACTTCTTTCTTCACTTCCCTTTGTGTTTAGCTGACCCTCCAATGTGATCATTGCCTTTGGAGTTTGGGAGAGGTACGGGAAGTGGCCTGATCCCTGCTTCCATACTTCACTCCTCCATCCATCCTTCCCTCCCTCTTCCCCTCCAGCTAAATGGACAATTCTAGCCAACATTGAGTCACTCAATAAGTCTCAACAGTGGGTGTGTTTGCTGAGATTGTCCAGCAGTTGAGCAGTTTGGTCTCACCTCCCTCGCTAGTTGAGACCAAAAAGAGACAAATAACTTTTTCATGGTCTTTGAAACATAATGCTTATTTCGTGGTCAATGGCTTTAAAAAAATCTGTTTCTTGTTTTCTTCAACAAACTCACTAGTTTTCCCTTAAATGATATTGTAAAAATTAAAGTAATCTTGAAAATGTTTTGACAAAAGTAAAATTAAAGGGACATCTTTTCTTAAAAAAAAAAAAATGTTTTTGTAAAAGAACCCTATTTTCAAATGAAATCTTAAGGAGAATTATAATACATAGATTTTTTTTTTTAATCTCTGTGCTGCTTTAGGGAATAGAAGATCTGAAAGACTATCATGTTTTGTAATTTTCCTCTTCCTGGAGTACTGTAGAGTTCTAGGGAATATTATATTCTACACATTTTTGGTACTTAATCTTATACATAATTAATTATTCACATTCACATATGCATGTTTTACCTTCCCAAATGGCTATTCTTGGAAAGTAGGAGTTATATTTCCTTTCCTTGCAGAGTTGTTAGTCAGGGAAGAAGACCTCAGCAGATGCTTGTTCAAAAAATTAATTCTTACTTGTTTGTTTGTTTGTTTGTTTGTTTTTTGTAGGGTACAGGCATCCTTCACCTGCTATTGTTGCAAGAACAGTCAGAATTTTACATACACTACTAACTCTGGTTAACAAACACAGAAATTGTGACAAATTTGAAGTGAATACACAGAGCGTGGCCTACTTAGCAGGTAAAAACACAAAATAAACAAAATTAATCTTGCTACATCTATATATAAGGATCACCCAAAAAGTACAAATACCTATAGGTTTTTTGGCGGTTGCGTGGCAGAGCAGAAAGTTCACAGTCTAGTCCTTTAGTGGTGGTTACAATTTTGAGAGTTTTGCCAGAACATTTTTCTGTAGGAAAAAATTTAATTCCCATTAAAATCTGAAATGTGTTCCCTTGGTCATCTTTGGTTCAAGACACTACAGTGGCTCTCTGTTATCTGTCATAAAATCTGAATGCTTCAGTCTAGCACCCTGGGTCCTTAAATAGCCCTCTCAGTTCTGTTATCTTTCTCTAAATTTCATGAGCCTCATTTTTTATTACCACTCCAAATGGATGAGCTATTTTAAGCTAATCTACTTGCCATCTCCTACAAGCAACTGCCTCTTCAATATTCATTCCTTATGTCATTTTATCTGGAGTATCTGCCCTATCCCCACCATTCCATTAAAGCTTCCTATTTGCTCTTATCTGATTTTTGTTTCTCTACTCAGCAACACTTAGCACTTATGTACAATACAATTCTTGAACATAGTTGTTTGATAGAAAGTGCTGATTCTCAGTTTCACAGACTTGTATTTGTTCAACTTTTTTGTTTGAACCGTATCATCTTGAGCAAATCATTTAACATCTCAGTATTTTTTCTCATTCAGCTTAATAATACCTGCCCTGCCTACTTTGTGTTTGTTAAAGATCAAATGTATATTAAAGAACTTGGAAAATAAAAGATGCTTATTAAATCTCTCTGTATATTTCACATTTATGTAGTCTTCCAAAATATGTGCACATTTAACAGGTACTATGCTCTTTAGGAGACTGTAAGAAGTTCATCCTGTTTTAAGTCACACTTGTGATTTGTTAAATTTTTTAACCTGCCACCGTTTTCCTTTTAGCTTTACTTACAGTGTCTGAAGAAGTTCGAAGTCGCTGCAGCCTAAAACATAGAAAGTCACTTCTTCTTACTGATATTTCAATGGAAAATGTTCCTATGGATACATATCCCATTCATCATGGTGACCCTTCCTATAGGTAAGTGGATTTACTCTCCTATAATTACATAATCATAATCAAGTTTCAATTTTCCAACTAATGGAGGCAAGCAGCAGAGTAATCTAGAAGGTAACATGGGAGAAATCTAGAGATGGCCTAGGAAGAGTAAGTGAAACTCATTTTATAAATGTGTGGTATTTTATGTGGGTTAGTAGGAAAGTTATTCTTCCAGTCTGATTGTGCTAATGTTAACATTAGTTTGCCTCTGAAGCACAGACCAAATGAACAATGAAAAGAGATGCTCTTGAAAATATTAGGTTGCAGGGGAAGGGCCTGGGGAAAAAAACTAACGCGAAATATAAACAACACATTACGTGCTTGGATAGAGAACGAATCTATACAGATTTGTAAAAATACAGGCATGCTAACACATTTGTTGTATTTACTCATATCACACAAGTTATTTAAAAGTTTTCTATAATGTAGACATAGATGGTAAAAATTATATCTGCTATACATGGGTTTGGGTAGTATATTTTTCAGTATAATTTAGAGAAATTTCATGAAAATGGCATCATTGGGGGATTTTTCTGTATTTTCAATTAAATAAAAATATCTTTAAGGTTTAGGGACAGTGTTGAACACAGAAAAGTTATCTTCTGTTCGCAAAACTCGTATCATTCCATTTATCAACATCCTGCTTTTTGATAAAAAGACTTCAACAATTTCCTTAAGATTCTAACAATGTACGCAAAAATTTTTCAAACATGGTATTCAATAGTCTTACTTTCGTCAGTCCCATTATTATATTACTTTGAGATATGCCCTTTTTGTTATAGAAAGGGTAAAATAGTTTGCCTGTGTTCCCCTGTCAAAGTATAAATTAATATCTGATTTTCTTGGTTTTTAAACAATTGCCTATTTAGACTTAATTTTTTCTGATTTAAAAAAATCAGTGCAATAAGTTCAAGGTCTTTTATCAACATAACTACAGTTAATGTATTTTATACTTGAAAATAGCTACGAGTAGATTTTAAGTATTCTCACCACAAAAGATAAATATATGAGGTAACACATATGTTAATTTGCTTGATTTAGCCATTCTACAATGTAAACATTTTATTTATTTTTATTTTTCTTTATTAATTTTTTTTGAGACAGAGTCTTGCTCTGTCGCCCAGGCTGGAGTGCAGTAACACAATCTCGGCTCACTACAACCTCCGCCTCCTGGGTTCAAGCGATTCTCCTGCCTCATCCTCCCGAGTAGCTGGGATTACAGGCGCGTGCCACCATGCCCAGCTAATTTTTGTATTTTTGTAGAGATGGGGTTTCACCATGTTGGGCAAGCTGGTCTTGAACTCCTGACCTCAGGTGATCCGCCTGCCTCGGCCTCCCAAAGTGTTGGGATTACAGGCGTGAGCCACAGCGCCCAGCCAATGTAAACATATTTTAAAACATCATGTTGTACACCAAGCTTGCTCAACCCATGGCCTGCAGGCCGCACGCAGCCCAGGATGGCTTTGAATGCAGCCCAACACAAATTTGTAAACTTTCTTAAAACATTAAGTGATTTTTTGGGGTTTTTTTTTTTTTTTAAGCTCATCAACTGTAGTTAGTGTTAGTGTATTTTATATGTGGCCCAGTATATTCTTCTAATTCCAGTGTGGCCCAGGAAAGCTAAGAGATTGGACACCCCTGTTGCTATACCTTTTTATTTGTCAGCTTTTAAAAATTGCAGTACAGATCTTTTTGTTCAGCATTTGGTGAGTACCTACTATGTGCAAGATACTATGGCAAGAAAGTTGATAATTCCTAGGGATACACCAAGAGTTTGTATCCTAAAGCCCTTTAAAGTGCAATTTTAAAATTAATTGATTGCTGTTGTTAGGAAATAGGACAGCCACTTGGAAGGAGCAAACGATGGTTGTATTTGTCACCATATTAATTAATTTTTCTCTATTGTTTTCATCTTTCAGGACACTAAAGGAGACTCAGCCATGGTCCTCTCCCAAAGGTTCTGAAGGATACCTTGCAGCCACCTATCCAACTGTCGGCCAGACCAGTCCCCGAGCCAGGAAATCCATGAGCCTGGACATGGGGCAACCTTCTCAGGCCAACACTAAGAAGTTGCTTGGTTAGTTTATCTAAATTATGTAGATTTTTTTTATTATTTAAAAAAATAGATATTTTTACTCTTGGAAAATTATTTGAAATTTCAGGATTATCAAAATTTTCCATGTCAGTGTAGCAAAGTTTTTGATGCCATTTAAAAGAGAGTTTGATAGATCAGTTAAGCATTATAAGTTGAGATAGAGAAATGAGAATGGGACCTTGAAACAGTTTTTTCTGAATCTTATACTAAATATTGTGACTCTCCTTATTTTGTTTTGCCTTTGCTGGCCAGCAGGGAATGGGACTCTGAGACATATTAGATAAATACCTATAAGAAAGGAAGAGTCTTGCTGCACTCAGGGGATTTAATGATATACTGTAATACTTCCCAAAATTATCATCTGAGAGAATATATGAATATGGTATGAAGCTGTAATAGTACTATTTGCCGTGCTTTCTTTGAAAAGACAAAAAGACATGCTTCTCAATTACCGAAAGAAAATAGGATTCTTTTTTTTCTTTTTTCTTTTCTTGATATGAAGTCTTGTTCTGTTCACCCAGGCTGGAGTGCAGTGGCGCAATCTCAGCTCACTGCAACCTCTGCCTCCCGGGCTCAAGCAATTCTCCTGCCTCATCCTCCCTAGTAGCTGGGTTTACAGGCACACGTCACCACATCTGGCTAACTTTTGTATTTTTAGTAGAGACAGAGTTTCACCATGTTGGCCAGGCTAGTCTTGAACTCCTGACCTCAGGTGATACACCCTCCTCGGCCTCCCAAAGTGCTGAGATTACAGGCATGAGCCACCATGCCCGGCCGGAAGATAGGATTCTTGAAATTAAGATTGCTCAGTTACATCAACATTTATAGAATTTTTGTCTCTGAGAAGTACACCTGAAATGCTGCGAGACTCATTTCCATTTTAGTAACTGAAAGTAAATGAATGAAAAAACCCACTAGGCCAGGTGCAGTGGCTCACGCCCATAATCCCAGCACTTTGAGGGACTCAGGTGGGAGGATTGCTCGAGTCCAGGAGTTCAAGACCAGCCTGGGCAACATGACAAAACCCATCTCTACAAAAAATACAAAACTTAGCTGGGCATGGTGACGAGCACCTGTAGTCCCAGCTACTTGGGAAGATCACTTGAGCCCAGGAGGTGGGGGTAGCAGTAAGCCAAGATTGCACCACTGCACTCCAGCCTGGGTGACAGAGTGGGACCCCGACTCCAAACAAACAAACAAACAAAAACACTGATCTTACATCGCTCCTCAGAGGAAATGCAGAGATGTTCTTGCATTCCATTGGGTAAAATTGTAATTGTTACTGGAATACATTAGGATCTGTATTTCAGTAGCCAGCACTGAATGGTTCAACAGATTTCAGTTATCCATGCAAACATATTTAAGTATCTTTAGGTATTGGAAAAATGTTTGTGTTCATAAGGAAATTAGTGAACAAACAACAAATTGTAACATAAATAACGTGCCAGTAAACCGTGAAAGAAATAGAAACCATGAATGTGTCAATCACAGTTACTAGCCACATAGGTGTGTTACTGTTGTTTGAGTTCCCTTCTGTTAGTACCTTGCCATAAATAATCATTTAGGAGTTTCCTGGTTACTTTGTGTTTTGTAATTCTGGATTTTCATGCCAATGAAGTTGTAAATGAAAAACTAACCTCAGAAAAAAATATATTGAATTCATTCAACCCATGTACTAAGTGAAAAAGATAAGGTAACTGCCCTGGAAGACTTTGTAATTTGTGTCCAAGACTTATAATCAGCCAATCACAACAGCAACTCCAGGTGCCATTAAAATGATATGTCTTGATGGAGGAAGCTGGAGATCTGGGGAAATTAGAAGAAAAAAAACTGCAGAGAGGAGATAACATTTGGGCTGTGTCATAAAGATTTAATATATGCTTGCAAAATAGCAGGATAAGTAGGGGCATATGTTTAAGAGCAGTGGGGAATAGCAAGAATAAAGAAAAGGCAGGAAAGCAACTGATGATACATCATGGCATCATGGGGAATGGGGTAGGAAATGAGATGAGAAGAAGGACTAGAACTCGATTGGAAACGACTGTATGCCATGGTAAGATATTTACCCTTATCACACATTCAGCTGAGGTATTTAAGTAGGAGAAGAACATGACCAAATTTTAATTTTTGCCAAGTTTTTCTAGCAGCAATGTGGAGAGACAGGAAGAGATTTTTAGCAAGGGAACCATTTAATAAAATTGATATAGCAGTCCAAGCAAAAAAAATGGTGTGGGCCCCGCACTAATGCAGGAGCAATGGGAGAATGGAGAAGAACCAGCAGGTTTGGAGCTGGGCATAATGGTACACACCTCTAGTCCCAGGAACTCAGGAGGCCAAGGCAGGAGGATTGTTTGAGGCTGACCTGGGCAGCATAGTCAGACCCTGTCTCAAAAAAAACAAAAATCAGGTTTGGAATAGGTTTCTGAAGTACAATGGACATGACTTAGTGACCAATTGTTGCAGGTGGGGAAGGGGAGAAGACTGTGAAGGATGTCAGAAGCTTTTAGTTTTAAAAACTGTCTAGATAGTGATACCATTCATAGAGATCAGGACTAATACGTTCACAGTACATGATAAATTTAGGTTGATTACATTTGATATATTTTCAAGACATCTATGAGTATATATCTAAGAGATAAACCACAAGATGTACCTGGAATTCGGGAAGAAAGTAAACAAGTAAACATTTAGAATTGATTAGCTCACAGATAGTTGAAGCTATGGAAGCAGAATGAGATCTTCCAGGAAGAATGCAGAGAATAAAATAAAAAGGACAAGTGAGAAAGGAAGGAAAACTAAATGTAGAAAGTAGTGTCCCAATCTCATGTACTTTGGAAAGCACTGACTGGTTTTAGAAAACCTGAGTTTTCCATCTGGTCATTGTCTAGATCCCTAGCCATGCTACCTCAGACTAATTACTTAACTGCTCATGGCTTCATCAGTGTACATGTGCATGAAACGAAGAAGCCGGACTAGATCCCTTTGGACTGTTAAATTATTTGGCCTTGGTATTTATGACTATTATGAATAGTTATTCATATTCTTGAGGTAATAGACTTTGTATTTCTCAAGTGTTAAATTGTCAGATTTTATTATATTGGCTTTAATTCTGGCTTTAATAAAATAATACTGTTGGCCGGGCATGGTGGCTCATGCCTGTAATCCCAGCACTCTGGGGAGACCAAGGCAGGTGGATTGCTTGAGCCCAGGAGTTCGAGACCAGCCTGGGCAACATGGAGAAACCCTGTCTCTACTAAAAATAGAAAAATCAGCTGGGTGTGGTAGTGTGTGCCTGTAGTCCCAGCTACTGGGGAGGCTGATGTGGGAGGATCACCTGAGCCCAGGATGTGGAGGTTGCAGTGAGCTGAAATCATATCACTGCACTCCAGCCTGGGCCACAGAGCGAGACCCTATCAAAAGAAAAAAATAGTGTTAATACATGATTACATGATTAGAGAAACTAAAAGCCAAATGGGAGATAATGCTACTTGCTATTTTTGAAGCATCTCCCAGTGTATCTGGTTTTTAGTATTTTCAGGCATGCATATCTTTTTTTCAAAGCTTAAAAAATTAAAATCAAACTCTGCTTTCTTCCTAAGCTTGGAAATTACTCATGTATTAATGAGTAGTTCTTGGCACCAGCAGCGTTTCTTAAACTGAAAAGACTGGTCAGACATAGTTGACCTTTGCTACTGAATAATGCCTACCATTGCATTTATTATCAGTTATCATATTTGTTGATTTACCTCCAGTGTAGTTTGGTTTACCTCCAGTGTACAGAATACAATCTCAGTTTAATTTGCACCAGTAAGGTGCAACCTATCCTGAAACAGAAAGCTATGGGAACAAAACCCTTTGAGAAGATGGAAAATAAAGGAAAGAAACTGCTCCAGGGATGTATTAGAGCTTTCTTTGAGTCCTCAGTGAAAGCTTAAACACTTTATGTCCAAACATTTTCTTTTTAGTGTATTCCCATTTATAGACACTGTAGTTAATGAACTTGCATATTCTTAACTTTTGTTTATAGGAACAAGGAAAAGTTTTGATCACTTGATATCAGACACAAAGGCTCCTAAAAGGCAAGAAATGGAATCAGGGATCACAACACCCCCCAAAATGAGGAGAGTAGCAGAAACTGATTATGAAATGGGTGAGAAACAAAGTATTGATCTAGATCATTGAAAATAAGGTGGGAGAGTACATGAAAGTCATGTTTATTTTCCAGCCATTTCTTAGAATCTTTAGAGTGAAATATAGAAACGTTTGCCATTTCTCAAAAGATAAACTCTACCATTCAAGACAGTTATCTTGAAGCTTGTGTAAAAATTAATCATATATATTATATACAGCATTGTAAATAGGTAGCCAAAACTTTTGTGTAGGCGAATAGTAATTCTCTATGATGTTTATGTTAGTATTTTAAGTATCTACTAAAGAAAGCTGTTGAATTTTAGAAGTAACATTGAAATAGTTAGGTGAAGTGATTATCCAGGTGTTTGATCACGTTAATTCCCTATCTTGCTGCAGAAACTCAGAGGATTTCCTCATCACAACAGCACCCACATTTACGTAAAGTTTCAGTGTCTGAATCAAATGTTCTCTTGGATGAAGAAGTACTTACTGATCCGAAGATCCAGGCGCTGCTTCTTACTGTTCTAGTAAGGATTTCCCCTTTTTGAGTCCCCCACCCTCAAATTTTTATTCCAGTCTACTTTTAGGAGGCCCTTAAATATTAAAAACATGAATAGGATACAGTCTTCTACTTCTCACCCAAACAGATAACAATTCAGCCACAAAGTAAAAATGTTGTGTGTTTACTTTTTTGCATCTTGGCAGGCTACACTGGTAAAATATACCACAGATGAGTTTGATCAACGAATTCTTTATGAATACTTAGCAGAGGCCAGTGTTGTGTTTCCCAAAGTCTTTCCTGTTGTGTAAGTATCTCCTTTTGATTTTAATTCACCTTCGTGCCTGTCTTTAAGTTAAATGCTTACCCAGTAATGTGCACTGGTTGCAAAGAGGGCAAAATGAGATATTGTGATAGTGATTTTAGCTTTGAGACAGTAGGTTTAATGAGGGTTAAGATTAGTTTTGACCTATTAGATCTATTAGAAAGTTTATAAGGAAAGACTTTTAAAAAATCTGGTTGATTTATTTAAGTGGTTTATTTTGATGATCATTGCTCATTTTCCTCACTTAGAAGCAAACTATTAGACTGCTATATCTAAATCAGCATATCTGTTTTGGTTTACTTTTTAGTAGAGCTTTTGTATTTATCCACAGCTGAGTGAAAACAAAATTGACCTTCTGTTTAGGAGGTGAATTGTTTACTCTCTCTTAAGGACTAAAAAATATTAACCTCAAAGTGTTCAAATTTAAATAGTTCAAATAAATTCTTTTCCTGATCTAGGCCTTCTATATCATGTCATTATTTTCTTTTTTTAATCTCATGTTAGAATTTTAGAGAGTTAGAACTCAGTTATTTTTATTAATGGAGTGTAGCCGGGTTAGAAATAATTTTTTTCCTAAGTTTCAGTTGGATCATGTATTTCACTCCCTCTAAACTATTTTGCTTTCCCTATTTGATCTGACTCAGCATTTTAAAAGCACTGATTAACATTAAATTTAATTTTTTTCTTTTTGTTTTGCACAGATCCTAAATTTAGTTTTAACTTCCTAAGCGCATGTCAGTATACAACAGATGGAAATAGTACTAAAACATGCTAAGTAGCAGACAGAGCCAACCTTGTCTTAAGCAAACATTTACCGTATATGGTTACACATGGTTATATGACACTACCAGTTGTTTGTTTTCACAATTTCTTCCCTGGTGACTAAAAACAAAAGACAAACAAAAACAGACACACACACATGTTCATTGTAGAAAATTTGGAAAATGAAGAAATGCCCCAGAAAGTAAAAAGCACTCATCTCCCTTTAATTTTGGCACATTATTCTGGGGAATGTATATTATGTTTTCCACTACATATTTTCATTTAATTTTCCTCTAAAATGTTCCTCTGTTGACTTTTTTTTTCTTTTAGGCATAATTTGTTGGACTCTAAGATCAACACCCTGTTATCATTGTGCCAAGATCCAAATTTGTTAAATCCAATCCATGGAATTGTGCAGAGTGTGGTGTACCATGAAGAATCCCCACCACAATACCAAACATCTTACCTGCAAAGTAAATAAATGTATCTGGAAAAGGATGGTTGATGAACTTGCTAACATGCGCGCTGTTGTAGAATGCACTGACTACAGAATTCTTTATAAGGGATAGACTTGTTCATACTTTTATTTCCATATTCCATTTTTTTACTCTCTCAACTGTATGTCCAATGTAACTGGTTGACAACTTTTTATGCTGAGTATATTTTAAGTAGGTTTTAGTTGCTTTGACACTCATTCTAAAAACATGTTTTCAACATGTACATAGGGTTTATATATCATCAGCTATATGACTTATTTAATTTCTGTTACAATTAAAAGATACCTTGCTTGTTATAAGAGTAAAATTTGATTTGTTGCAGGTTTTGGTTTTAATGGCTTGTGGCGGTTTGCAGGACCGTTTTCAAAGGTAAGAAAATATATTTTTCTCTAACTTTTGGCAAAATGAAGGTTTCTGTTCAAATTAGTATGCCTGCTTTAAGAACACACAATGTGCTGAAAACCAGAAAAATAATTCACAATAAACACATATGTTACTTTTATAAAAAGTTTCTCATCACAAGGTTTTTTTCCAGGAGGCAGCATGGTGTTGGGGTGTGTGTATTCACTTTTACAAACAAAGTCAACTTATGATCAATTTTTCAGAAGAGTATGATAAACCTCTGTGATACTTTTCTGCCACAGTCCCTTGTGTATTTGATAATCTTAATGCACACAGTTAGATATCTTATGACTAGCAAGGAGCATTACCATGGTTAAAATCTATTTCATGAAAACATTTTTATTTCCAGCCTATTAGATTAGATTAATTTCTCTCTGGATTTGTCCTCATTTGCTCTTATTCAGTTTTTTTGTTTGTTTGTTTGTTTTGTGAGACGGAGTCTCACTCTGTCTCCAGGCTGGAGTGCAGTGGCGCAATCTTGGCTCACTGCAACCTCTGCCTCCCAGGTTCAAGCGATTCTCCTGCCTCAGTCTCCCGAGTAGCTGAGACTACAGGCATGCAGCACCACGCCCAGCTAATTTTTGTATTTTTAGTAGAAACAGGGTTTCACCATGTTGGCCAGGATGGTCTTGATCTCTTGACCTCGTGATCTGCCCACCTCGGCCTCCCAAAGTGCTGGGATTACAGGCATGAGCCACCGCACCTGGCCTCAGTTTGTTTTTTGATTGGCATTAGTTTATGTAGTGCTACATAAGATGTATATGATCATTTTCTCTGTATGTGGGCTCTCTCCAAATTGATCAAAGTTCCTTGAAGACAGGGTTTCTGTTTCTTCCTTAAACAGTTCCTGGTGCAGTGTTTTAGATACAGGGGGTGCTAAATCAATATGAATTGTATAAACCTTGTTCCAGTTTTTAAGAATTGGGTATTTTATTTATTTCCTTTCACTATTACTTGAATATCTGTCAACATGCAAAGGTTGTCACTTAAAAAATGGGCCTGAAGTTACAGAAATAAGTATATCATACAGAAGTTTTTGCATTTGGATTGCCAGTAACCCTCTGAGCCCTTTACAGTGTCTAGTGAGTGGAATCTAAATGGCAGCTGGAATGATGATGCTCTGCTCATTTTCTCTGTTTTGGAAAATTGGCTAGACATCATTCCTGGTGATTGTATTGTCTCAGTATTACATTCAGTCTGTCTTGTGCATGGCTTTCAGAAAATGCAGGTTCATCTGGAAGCTTTAAGCTGAATAGAACTCCCTGTTGTAAGTCCTATGGTAGTCTATAAATATTACTCCACTCCCCTTTTTTAATGATAAGTAATACAAAGGAAGAAAAATAGTAAATTAAGTCCAAACAAAATTAATATTTTTGGCTTCAGATGGGGATTTACTTAAAAAAAAGGAACTAAAATAATTTCCTATTTTCCATTACAGCAAACACAAATTCCAGACTATGCTGAGCTTATTGTTAAGTTTCTTGATGCCTTGATTGACACGTACCTGCCTGGAATTGATGAAGAAACCAGTGAAGAATCCCTCCTGACTCCCACATCTCCTTACCCTCCTGCACTGCAGAGCCAGCTTAGTATCACTGCCAACCTTAACCTTTCTAATTCCATGACCTCACTTGCAACTTCCCAGCATTCCCCAGGTCAGTAAATGTGATCTTTATATGACTTTGAGCAACAATATAAGACACCAACATTAGGAATTCCCTTGTGATCAGTTTATAGCAAATTTTGCTCCTTTTTCTTATGAGATTCACCTTACATTTCTTCTTTACCTTGTAACTGACTTGACTTTTGTTATTCTATGAAGCTTTCTACTTTCAAACAAGTTGTACATAAGACAGTAAAATGTTAAAATGTCCACATGATATTCCAAGGTTGACAAGTTTGTAGAGTTTGGGCAGGAAGAGGAACTTAAAACACATTATTCTGTAAGTGAACAGAACTATAATTTATTTACTAGATATACTAACATTGCCCTAAGGGCCTCTTTCTCTGTCTCTGATACAGCATACTATATCAAAAAAAAAAAAAAAAAAAAAAAAAAGAAGAAGAAGAAGAAACACAAAATCTATTAGGTACCTCACTTTCCTGCTGCCAGCAATAACTCAACCATCCATAGACCATCCTGAAAATCTGGAAGTAAATAAATAATCAAACAAAAAATTCATCTCAAGAAAATAACATCTTAAAGCCCATAAGCATATATATACCAATTCGTAATGCAACTTAGATTTGAATACACTGAGAAATACTAATAGCTAATAGCTCCAGTGGGACTGAGATAAACAAGGTGGGAGAAATGGCAAACCTACAGAACTCTGGACTTATTCAGTGTCATAGTGAATGGTTTCATACAACTCTGGTTGACCCTGGAGGTGCTATTCATTATAGAACTTAAACTATTGTGTGTGTTATTATGACAGTGAGTAATGAAGGAAAGCTTTTGTTATGGTTGTGTTTTCTATTTAGAAAGATATTCTTCTAAAATGGTTAAAAATAAAAGAAACTTTAGTTGTTTAACGTTCCATTATCTGAAAAGTTCACTTATGAAACACATCATTGTATAAGGAAAAGTTACTATATATAGTTCTTTTAAGTGTTAGCATAAATTTAAAAAAAATCCAATGACATAACTATTCTGTGATATTCAAGATCAATAAATAGAATTCCCAGTTTATGATCTCAGTTTTGCATGAACATTTCAACTTATGTAATTTTGAAGGTTCTGAAGAATTTGGCAATACCCAATTCATATTATAAACTATTATGTAATTAACTATATTCTATTAAATTCTGCTTAACAACAAAGCTTTGGTCAGCAGAGGAAACAAATTTTATTTCCACATTTGTCAGTCGCCTTACAAGTAATCCTTTTTTCCCCCAGAAGTAAGAGAAGTCTAACTTTTTTTCCCATGTAACAAGGTTTGTTTGCCCTCTGCCACTAACTCTCTAGTACAGTGTTTCTCCACGTGTGATCCCAGACCAGCAGCATCATTTGGGAGCTTGTTAGAAATGCAGATGCTGTAGTTTCACCTCAGATCTGCACAAAAAACTCCCAAGTAGAGCCCAGCCAGCAGTCAGTGTGTTAATAAATACCCCAGGCGATTCTTACACACACTAGAATTGGAGAAGCACTGCCCTGGGGTCTGCTTCTGGTCTTGCCCATTATCAGCATTTCAGCTGTGAAGGCCAGGGCAAAACTTAAAATTTACTTTTTTTACAGATACTGCAGCCACTGAATTCCTTCCTGCTTCCCCGCTGATAAACCTTTTAGCATTTTGGAGCTAGGGAACCATACAGGTAATTTAGTTTTAGGCTCACAATATTGTGTACATTGGGGAGACTGAATTTTAGAAGAGCTGGGTTAACTGCTTTATACAGTTCTTATCTAGAACCAAGGCCAGGCCCTTTTGTACTACATTCATTGCCTTCCATGGCTGTTGTCTGTTTGATTATCTATCTACTTTCCCTTCTCCTTCTTTATTTCCTTGTTTTTGTTTGTTTATTGCTAATTCATTACTTCTGTCTGCCTTGCCTTAAGCCCACCAGTTCTTTTTTTTCTGTTGGACTATTTTCTGGGTTACTGAACAGAAGTTGAAAAGTTTTTAAAAGTCTGCTTCATCTTAACCAAGCTTTTGCCTTTTGGGCTACTAAACTGGTGTTAAACATGTCAAAAATGGTTAGTTTTTTTATTGACTTTTTTTACCCAGTCTAATTGTAGGGAAATTTCTGCCTATCTTTGCCCACTAATGGAGACAATAAAATAATCTGGATGAGAATAAAGAACCATTACAGGTTTCTCTGCTATTTGATTAGTTGCATATGTCCAGTGTTGATTGGCTATTTGCCAAATCATTTGCTTTGGTGAAACAGTCTTACTCTACAACCTTTTACTTAGAATTGTTTATTAAAATCAGAATAGGTTTTATGGCTTTGGTTCCAGTTTCAAACTAATGGTGTCACCTCCATTAGCTCTCCAAAGTTGGTGCCTTTATTCAGGCTGGAAATCTCTGACTATACACAGAAGAGATGAGGAGGTTTAAAAGTAATAGAGTTAAGTGGTATTGTGGTGTTCAACTCTTCCTGTCACTCAATTGTGTGTCATTGGTTTGACAGTTTATTTTACTACATGTTTTCAGAGAAAGGGTTTATCTTTTCAAAAGTAACCTTACTCTCCCACAAAACCCATTTGTATCTCTAAATTACAGGCTCATGTTCACAAAAGGATCCCAATTTATATGCCCAATCACTGAGTTTTTGTCATTTGCTCTTACAGAATAACTCTTAATGGTAAGAGTTGATCTTTTGTTTATAATTAGGTATATTGCTTCATATCTTTAGCTCCATGTAATCTTATATCCTTATCTCTCTCTTTTTTTTTTTTTTTTTTGAGACAGAGTCTCGCTCTGTCGCCGAGGCTGGAGTCAGTGGTGCGATCTCGACTCACTGCAACCTCTGCCTCCCAGGTTCATGCCATTCTTCTGCCTCAGCCTCCCGAGTAGCTGGGACTACAGGCGCCCACCACCACACCTGGCTAATTTTTTGTATTTTTAGTAGAGATGGGGTTTTATGGTGTTAGCCAGGATGATCTCGATCTCCTGACCTCGTGATCCACCCACTTCAGCCTCCCAAAGTGCTGGGATTACAGGCGTGAGCCACTGCGCCCAGCCTTTTTTTTTTTTTTCCCCCTTTGGAGACAGTGTCTCGCTCAGTAGCCCAGGCTGGAGTGCAGTGGCGCAGTCTTGGCTCACTGCAACCTCTGCCTCCTTGGTTCAAGCTATTCCCCTGCCTCAGCCTCCCTAGTAGCTGGAATTACAAGTGCACACCACCACGCCTGGCTAATTATTGTATTTTTAGTAGAAACCCGGTTTCCCCATGTTGACCAGGCTGGTCTCGAACTCCTGACCTCAGGTGATCCACCCATCTCAGCCTCCCAAAGTGCTGGGATTACAGGCTTGAGCCACGGCGCTCAGCCATCTCATTTCTTTATGGCGTTGAGTTTGCTTATATCAAAAAACCAAAAGAAAGTTGTCCAGATTCCTAACTCAGTCTGGCGTTTCAACTTTGCTGTTTAGCTGTATAGAAACCAAAACATTTCCTTATCTCCATTCCCAGCAGCCAAGTCTCAAGCAGTAGTATTGAAAGAAGTTCTCTGTCATTCCCCGATATGGAGCATAAGTTTGATTTACCATCAAATTACCCAACATCAACCTATACTTAGTCAACTGAGATTTAAACAGATAAAGGTTCCATTGCCCTATTTCAAAAAGCAAATGTTGCTGATCTGCACGCATTCAATCCTTTGCTATAAATGTTTCATGTCAATGCAAAACTCTTCATTCTAGATCTTTGATGTTTAGCAGGATCAGCTACTGAGCTGTATTTTCTTTTGTCCAACATTTTCTACTAGCAAATCAACAAAATAAGAGATTCATGAACCTCTCCTCCTCCCCCTCCTGCCCCAGCATTAGGTCTTACTTAAATTAAACATTTGGGCAGTATTTCGTTAGTTACCAGCTTTGAGGAGAAGTGGTAGTCACTTACATAAAGCAATTGTCTCTGAAAATGCATTCTTCTTGACAAATTAGCATAGCCTAATTCTCCATCCTAAGGGGGACTGTTTTACAAGTCTACATATAAAAGTACCTAAATGGTTGTCTTCTGAATCCCTCCCTAGTAGAAATTGAATTTGGCATCAGTGGAGCCAGTGACTGTACCTGGGATTCAGTGCATATAGAATTGCATTGACTGTGACCCTTTAGGCAAATGGATGTAAGACTTTGGCTCTTAGGATTTTCCCAAACACCAATAAGAGCATCTTGAAGAGAATCCATTTACTTTATGATATATAAGGATATTTCAGGTTTGATATTATGATCCTTATTAGGTCCAGTCTAGCTGAGCTGGACATGAATTGAAGAACCAGAATTAGAACTAGAAAATGAAACCCAGGCTGAGTGCGGTGGCTCACGCCTGTAATCCTAACACTTTTGGGAGGCCGAGGCAGGTGGATTGCTTGAGACCAGCCTGGGCAACATGACGAAATCCCATCTCTACAAAAATAGAAAAATTAGCCAGGCGTAGTGGCATGCATTTGTAGTCCCAGCTACTTGGGAGGCTGGGGTGGGAGAATCACCTGAGCCGGAGAGGTCAAGGCTGTGGTGAGCTGTGATCATGCCACTGCACTCCAGTCAGGGATTGAGAACCTATCTCAAAAAAAAAAAAAAAAGAAGGAAAGAAAGAAAATGAATTAATAGGATCCATTTCCAAAGCATTAAAATTTAATATATACTTTATCAGGGTCTTCTGATATTCTTCAGAGGAGAATTGTTGTAAGTTAATTCAATAAACATTTGAATACCTGTTTTGTAGGTGTATGTTAAGTATGTATTAGAATCCTTGATCACCAGAGACTTGACGGTTTTTGCCTTGAAAGTTATTTCCTTCCGATCCATGTTGTTTAACAAATTCTAAGTGTGCACTATTTTTTTTATTTTAAATACAAGATTAATACTATAGTGCACTGTAGAAAATACCAAAATTCCAGATATTTATCCTACATATATGTATTGTTTACTATATGCAAGGGGCTCTTAGACCCCAGGGGAGCAGAGGGGCTGCCAGGGCATGATACCTGCCTTCAATATATTTCAGATCAGAACGGGCAGTAGAATGTACATAGATAACTATTTTGACCTCTATTGTGATACCTGTCATGTTGTACCTTGTACTATATAGTATTCTGATAGTTCAAAGGGACATTTGTGTGGAAGGATCATGTAATAATTATGGCAAAAGTTTTATAACACATTTTTCACCTCAAAAATGTTTTTAAACAAAACAAGTAAATTCGTGATCTATTTAATTTTTTTTTTTTTTTTTTTGAGATGGAGTCTTGCTCTGTCACCCAGGCTGGAGTGCAGTGGCACGATCTCAGCTCACTGCAACCTCCGCCTCCCAGGTTCAAGCAATTCTCCTGCTTCACCCTGCTGAGTAGCTGGCACTACAGGCACCCACTACCATGCCTGGCTAATTTTTGTATTTTTAGTGGAGACAGGGTTTCACCATATTGGCCATGCTGGTCTCGAACTCCTGACCTTGTGATCCTCCCACCTCCACCTCCCAAAGTGCTGGGAATTACAGGCATGAGCCACCGCACCTGGCCTAAAATTTTTTTTTACTAGGAAAAAGGCTTTAACTTTTTTTTGTTTGATCAGCTCATTTTACTGTTAGTATTGGTGCGTGAATTTTTTAGAACAAAGACATACTTAGTTCATCGTTACTTTAGACTCCCTTCTTCCATTTTTATTTCTGGCCTTGGTCCAAGCCTACCAGTCATTCTCTCACTTTGCTTCTGTAATGTAGACCTTCTTCCTGAGAAGCTGGCTAGATCAGGTAGTGATCATAACATTCCTAAACCAATAGTGCTGATAGCTCTGTGTACGGAGGGATATTTCATCTAAACCATTGCTCTAAACTTAGACTTGGCTCTGAGTCAGTAATACTTCTGTTTACTAGGTTTGAAATATCTCCCTCTTAGCTGGGCACAGTGGCACATGCTTGTGGTCCCAGCTACTAGGGAGGCTGAGGTGGGAGGATTGCTTGAGCCCAAGAGTTCAAGTCTGGCCTGGGCAACATCATGAGACCCTCGTCTTTTAAAAGAAGGAAAAGAAATATCTCCCTTTTAGAAGAAACCTAAAAGTCTCTATTTTGAGGCCACTTAAGATCTCTGAAATGATTTTAATGTTTTAGAGAATTGTTTATGGTATTACCTGACCTTTTTTTCTTGATTTGTTTTCTTTTTCTTTGTTATTATCCTATGTTTAAGGGAGAAAAATAATTTTAAATTGAGCGATTTCTTGGTATAATTCTTGCTAATTTTTAAATCTAATTTTTAGCTTAATTCTTAATTTAAACTAAAATTCTTAATTTTAATATAAGTGGTAAAAAAATACATCTACAAAGTTCTAAGTTCTATCATTTATTTACCAACTGTAATATTTAGGAAATTAATGGTCAGAATTCAATAATTAAAACCAGATTCCTTCTGAAAACCAAGGAACATTATAATTATCTAGTATCTAATTGTATTTCACCCTTTTTTAAATCTTATGAACATCACTTACTTGCTTTTTTTTCTTCCATTCTTTGTAAAGCTTCTCTGCCTTGCTCTAAATCAGCAGTTTTCATGCAGCTGTTCCCTCATCAAGGTACTCTTTATTTTCATCATCTTTGCACGAAAATACTGCTTACCCCACACTCATCCTGGGCACATAGCATGAGACTTTACTCACCGGTCCCTGTAAGCTCAGTCTGCCTTAGGCACTTTAGGAACTTGTAAAGCCACCACTTTATAAGGTCTTGGTACTTAACAGGAATTGCACGGCCAGTGTGTGGCCTGTCTTGTTTAAGGAGCTGCTAATACCCACCCAGAACAATGAAGATGCAATCCCATACCTGGACTAACAAAGGCAGGTTAATAAGAAACTCAAGAGAGAGTTAATAGAGAAAGAGCAGAATACGTGGTTTGATGAAGTTTTTTTAGCTTAGAAAATAACTTGTTTTCCCCAAATAGAAAGCCAACCCCAGTGTTTCCTCAGAAATTAAAGCTGGCTGTCTATTCAATCACCTGTGGTTAAAAAAAGGAATATGGCCAGGTGCGATGGCTCACGCCTATAATCACAGCACTTTGGGAGGCCAAGGTGGGCGGATCACTTGAGTCCAGGAGTTGAAAACCAGCCTGGGTAACGTGGCAAAACCCTCTTTCTACAAAAAATACAAAAAGCTATTCACAGGACTGAGGTGGGGAGGTTGAGGCTTTGGTGAGCTGAGATCGCACCACCGCACTCCAGCCTGAGTGACAGAGCAATACTCTGTCTCACAAAAAAATTAAAAAAAAAAAATATATGGTCATTAGTTAGCTATAAGGACTAAGATGAAAAAATTTGACACATTTATGTCTAATTTATAAAAGATGCCTTTTCTTTTATTCACCTGTAATTAATATACAAAAAGATTACACCTAAACAGAAAAAGAAGTGCTAGCAGTTGGTGAACGTCATTTTTAAAAATTCTTTTTTCTTTTTGAGACGGAGTCTCTCTCTGTTGCCCAGGCTGGAGTACAGTGGTGTGATCTCAGCTTACTGCAACCTCCGCCTCCCCAGTTCAAGCGATTCTCCTGCCTCAGCCTCCTGAGTAGCTGGAATTACAGGCATGTTCCACCAAGCCTGGCTAATTTTTTTTGTATTTTCAGTAGAGACGAGGTTTCACCATTTTGGCCAGGCTGGTCTCGAACTCCTGACCTCAAAGATCTGCCTGCCTTGGCCTCCCAAAATGTTAGGATTACAGGCATGAGCCACAATACCAAGCCAAAAATTCTTATAGTTACAATTTTTTATATTTAGCTCAAAATAAAAATATTTCTAAGTATATATTTAATACGCCTCCATGAATGTATTTACTGTAGCTTAAAAATAGGCTGTAGCTACCTAAGAAGATTTATTCTATTTTGTGCTTATTTATATTAGCTTCACTCATTTTACAAATTCTAGCATAAAATTAAAGTCCTAGTATTTGTTCTAAAACTCCTTTGTATCACCTGGTCTTTTACTTCAGATATTAGGAGCATCTTAATTTGTGGAGTAATTATTTTATCTGTGTGCAAAAATTCTTCACATAGATTATTTTGTCTAACAACCCTTTGAAATAGACAAGTCTGCTGTTATCCTTAATTGCCAGATTAAGAATTACAACTAAATAAGAATATTGATCCAAACAAGTCTCAAACCTAGGTCTTCTGACATGTTTAAGTTCTCCTGTATGTAATAAGAGTTTTCTAATAAGTTTGCCATATTGTATATGAAATAAACTAAATGCAGAGTAAGGTAACCTACTAGTGCTCCTGCACAGGTGGCAGGAGATTTCAGTTTTTATTAGTCTGTCATTTTTGTAGTATAACTTCTCACAAATTACCTAACCCATTTTTCCTTAGCTTTTCAAGAGTTAAAAGCGATTCTGTTGTTTTATTATTTCATGATACTATTATAACTGATTATTTCAGTTTGGGAAACCAAAAGTGTTTTTTAAAAATGAGTGACTAAAAAATTGTCAGGCTGGAGCTACATCACTAGTTGTAAAAATACACAAACCTTGATACCTGCCTTCAAGGAACTCATGTTCTAGCAGGGAAGATAGACATCTAACTTAAATAACAATAATGTAATCTAATCCTTTTCCCCAGCTACTCAAATTCACTGAATTTTGGCCAATAACACCTTCTAGTTAGGATTTTGTCTTTATCTGGAACCACCACAATTTATTGAAACATAGTACTGCTGATATACTGCTGTACAGAATGTCCAGCTGTTTCTGCTCTGCATGTTTGTAATTGGCTGCATGTTTGACCACAGCATATCTGTGGGGTCATTTAAGCTGGCAAATCAGGACCACAGAAGTTTTAGCTTTATTTCCTTTGTGTGGTAGCCTCTGGGTTTCTGTCAGTCACTTTGTAGTTTTGTCTGTTTGTTGTCCACCAAAGGCCAGAAAGGAGAGCCAATGCTTTAGGGGCAAAAGAGATACCAGAATACAAAACTTTAAAGGGGTTTTGATGAAAAGAAGTGCAGCACCAAGGCCTTCTCACTAACTTAAAATATGGCATATAGCAATACAGGATGTGTTCTGTCTGCATTGGAGTGGTCTATCAGATAATCTGAGAGTTTTTCCTATGGGATATTGAGGTGAAATCCTTCACCAGTTCCTAGAGAGATTTCTAGATTTAATTTTAGAGGATAAAAAGAAAGAATGCTGCCAAAATTCTTAGAAGTGAGAATTATGCTGAGAAACTTAAATGCCAGAACTAGATACTATGATCATTCTGTTTCATACTACCTTGGCTTTTTCAAGATATATTTTGGTGTAAACGTAATGCATTTTAATTGTTTTTTTTTAATGACTTTCCAAGATTTTTGTTAGTTTCTCCTTTGATCCTTACAGTAAAACATCTTTGCTGTGAAGTTGAACTTAGGAATCACAGTCACACCACATTTACCTATGTGTGATTTATACAGTTGGGTCACTAAGTAGGAAGAAAACATACATTCCAAAAACAAGAATTTAGATGAAAAATGAATTTGAGAATAGAAGTAGAATATCAACTTTTGACATAGTGTTGAAGCTTTTGGTTATGAGGGATGGGGCTGACAAGTCACTCGTACTTTTACATTTTTAATTAATGTGCTCATTAGGAAAAAAATTGGAAAATTCAGAAAAATAAAAGGAAAAAGTTACCCACAATCCTATCATTCTAAGATAGATAACCACTGTTTATTAACATTTTGGTGCATTTCCTTCCAGTTTCTTTTTTTTATATACTTGAGGTCATAGTATGTGAACAACTTTATAGCTTGTTTTGTACCCTCAACATTTAACAGGAGATAAATAAGGCCTTTAAAATTATTTGAGGTTTGACGGTTATTTGCTTCACAAAACAGAAAGTGGAATGTTCTTAGCACTTTTTTGAAGATACCTTCACCCTAGTGACTTCATCTACATTACTACAATTTATGTAATTGTAATTCTCAGGAATAACACTGTGCCCAAACAGAAGCATTGCCACCCATGTCATGACTGTTTTCCCCTCAGAGTAGGCCATGGTCTAGTAGTAGCAAGACACACAAGAACGAGCCCCAGGGTAGCAGATTGCTGGCAGAGAGTCACAGGGCCTTCCTAGTGGTCATCCATGCTTCATGCCCCTCCTGCATGCGGGCCAGCTCCAAGTTGTTTCAAACCTTTGTCTTTTTAAGGTCCTAGTTTTGCCTGAATCTTATTTTCTATTAAAGAAACAACTCAGAATTACTGGACTTGAAACTTGTAGGCCAAATGCAAATTTGAGGAAATGGAAGGTCAAATACGCTGACAAATTCATAATTTTAAGTGGAGGATGCCAAAGGGAAAAAAAAAAGTTCTATCTTTTCAACTAAAAATATTATACCACTCTCTGGAGATCAGGGATTGCATGCTTTGGGGCTCTGAATTACAGGTATCTAGCTATCACATTTTAAAATGGAAGTGTTCAGTTCATTCAGTATTAATTGAAAATAATTTTTCAATGTATTGAAAAAATAACTAGATTTTACAGGAAAACAAAAATGAATAATAATGATCTTTACCCTTCTCAGTGCCTTTACTCAGTAGAGGAAGATGGATGTACAAGTTGTAGAATCATAGGCAAGTTAATTTAAAAGCAAGGAAGGAGAAAGTAGTTCTGGCAAGAGACAGAATAATGCATCATGAAGGAAAAGGATATGAGAAAAAAAAATATGGGTTGAATTTTATCTTGTAGAGATACGCAAGACAATTAAAAGAGCCTACACAAACATACATCCCAAAGAAGCTCAAGGCACATTCCAGAGATCATGAGCAGCTTTCTTTCAGTTTTGTTATTTCTTTTGTAAATAGCTCTGGAGAGGATGCAAATAAATATACAGAAGAGAATTTAAATAGACCAGAATTCTGTTACCCAGAGAAAAGTTCCATGAATGTTTCTAGTCATCTTTCTATGCATATGATTAGATTAGATTAGATTAGAACATGACTAGCCTTAAAAAATTTAATAAGGGTTTTAAAAAAGATTTGAATAGAACAGATTTTCAGTGGTGGTTCAGCTATGCTCACCTCCTGGAGAAATGTCGCTGATGTTTTTCCTTGCACTCATATGCCTGATGCAGTGCACATGTTCATAAACAGTCACTGACAAATGCCCATGTTCCTTTGACAGCAGTTCAGATTTTCAAGACAGCAAATCTCTGTTGAGCACGTGTAAACCAGGCCACGTGCTTACAGATGCCTGATACTCTTGAGTCGAATTCAGAGCTGAATCCAAATGAAAGATGAGTGGCTCCTAGAGGGAGGTCATCCCAAGTTCATTTCCTGTTCATGAGCCAACAAATAACTAACTGGGTAGATCTATGTACATTTTCTGTAACATAATGAATACTTCTTGACTTGAAATATTACTTTTTGTCCAAAAATGGAAATTTTTCTATTCTAAGATTTAAAATTTCAATATATAAAGAAGAATAAAGTACAAATTAGCTGAAATCTTGCCATACAGAGGTAAAATATATTTTTTAGTCCTTTGGCTTCTGACAGAGATAAAATATTTTGGCAGATGTTTACCCAGCCCTACGCCCTCTCCCCACAGTGTGTGGGTGTTTTTTTCCTACTCCAAAAATTGTGGTCATCTTTTTGTATCAGTAAATATCAATCAGTAATGTACATTTTGATACAAATTACTAAAACGTTCTGCAGCTGTTTGCTTTCCCGCCAAAATTTATGCCAGCAGTAAGTATAATCAGTCTAATTTTGGGGGTAAATTTTATTGATGTTTAACAGAAAAGTTCACAAATTGCAAGTTTTCAGCTTAGTGAACTTTTAAAATGTAAACACACTTGAAAATCCATCATCTACATCAAGAAACAGAACATTACCAGCATCCCAAGAAGCCATCCTCATGCCCCCTTAAGTCACTACTTCCGCAAGGGTGACCACAGTCCTGTTACCCAATTTGTAATCTTTCCTAATGTGATAGATAAAAATAAAAATCTTATTTTAGTTTCTGGTTACTTTTCTGAAGTTACTGCTTAGATTATTTATAATATTAATTGGGGTGGGGTGCAGTGGCTCATGCTTGTAATCCCAGAACTTTGAGAGGCCAAGATGGAAGGATTGCTTGAGACCAGGAGTTCAAGACCAGCCTTGGCAACATAGTGAGACTCTATCTCTAGACAGAATTTTAAAATTAGCTGGGCATGGTGGCATGCACCTGTAGTCCTAGCTGTTTGGGAGGCTGAGGCGAGAGGATAGCTTGAGCCTGGAAGTTCAAGGTTATAGTGAGCTATGATCACACCACTGCACTGCAGCCTGTGCAACAGGGCAAGACCCTGTCTCTAAATAAATAATCAATCATTGTTAGGCCCAGGTTTTGGAGGTTTAATCTCCTCCTCAAGAGAAATAAATGGCATCTGTTTAAGGTTGCAGAATGTGAAATGACTTGGCATAGCTGAAAAGAAGCAAAGATTCTACAGTATGACCTTTGTGATATATTATTTTCTCAGTAAATAGTTTCTTTGGGATAGGCACTGTGATTAAAAAAATAAAAGCATCTTGAGTTTTCTTTGAAGTGACAAATTTGCTGGAAAGATCAGTACTTTCTGCTGCTGGAGAGTATATTCTGTTTATAAACATGAATGAGGATGTGAATAAGGCTAGAAGATGACCTCTGCTGGAAGTTTCTGGTATGATTTGGAGGAAGGAGCACTAGTCTTCCCTGGTGGCTGCTAGCCTTTCATTTAGTTCAAGCCTGCCAGCCTCTAGCTTTTCCTTGCAACTTGTCTTTTCATTTTTCTTGTGCTATTTTCTGCTATGATAGCAAACTTTGCATAACAAAATGTGAAGTTTTCCATGTGACATTAACTTAGTAAACATTTTAGCAATTGACTATTAAAATGAAATGTGCATAAACAATTTGCCAGGTTGTATCTTATCACAAATATAGTCATGTGCTGCATAACAACATTGCAGTCAACAACAGAACACATATAGACAGTGGTCCCGAAAGATTATAATACTGTATTTTTACTGTACCTTTTCTGTGTTAGATATACAAATAGTTAGCATTGTGTTACAACTACATAAAGTACACAATATGGTAACCTGCTGTACAGGTTTGTTGCCTGGGAGAAACAGGCTATACCATATAGCCTTGGTGTGTAGTAGGCTATGCTATCTAAGTTCATGTAAGTACACTCCACAATATTTGCACAGACAAAATCGCCTAATGATTGTTTCCTAGAATGTGTCCCCGTTGTTAAGCGACACATGACTGCAATGAAATTCAGTCCTGGAAGGAAAAGAAGAAGTAACTGGCTGTTCTCTTTTTCTCCAGGAATCGACAAGGAGAACGTTGAACTCTCCCCTACCACTGGCCACTGTAACAGTGGACGAACTCGCCACGGATCCGCAAGCCAAGTGCAGAAGCAAAGAAGCGCTGGCAGTTTCAAACGTAATAGCATTAAGAAGATCGTGTGAAGCTTGCTTGCTTTCTTTTTTAAAATCAACTTAACATGGGCTCTTCACTAGTGACCCCTTCCCTGTCCTTGCCCTTTCCCCCCATGTTGTAATGCTGCACTTCCTGTTTTATAATGAACCCATCCGGTTTGCCATGTTGCCAGATGATCAACTCTTCGAAGCCTTGCCTAAATTTAATGCTGCCTTTTCTTTAACTTTTTTTCTTCTACTTTTGGCGTGTATCTGGTATATGTAAGTGTTCAGAACAACTGCAAAGAAAGTGGGAGGTCAGGAAACTTTTAACTGAGAAATCTCAATTGTAAGAGAGGATGAATTCTTGAATACTGCTACTACTGGCCAGTGATGAAAGCCATTTGCACAGAGCTCTGCCTTCTGTGGTTTTCCCTTCTTCATCCTACAGAGTAAAGTGTTAGTCCTATTTATACATTTTTCAAGATACAAGTTTATGAGAGAAATAGTATTATAACCCCAGTATGTTTAATCTTTTAGCTGTGGACTTTTTTTTTAACCGTACAAAACTGAAAGAACCATAGAGGTCAAGCCTCAGTGACTTGACACCATAAAGCCACAGACAAGGTACTTGGGGGGGAGGGCAGGGAAATTTCATATTTTATAGTGGATTCTTAAGAAATACTAACACTTGAGTATTAGCAATAATTACAGGAAAATAAGTGCGACCACATATATCTTAACATTACTGAATTAAAACTATGGCTTCTAAGTCCTTATCCAAACTCAGTCATCCAAACTAGTTTATTTTTTTCTCCAGTTGATTATCTTTTAATTTTTAATTTTGCTAAAGGTGGTTTTTTTGTGTTTTGTTTTTTGTAAACCAAAACTATACTAAGTATAGTAATTATATATATATATATATTTTTTCCCCTCCCCCTCTTCTTTCCTAACTAATTCTGAGCAGGGTAATCAGTGAACAAAGTGTTGAAAATTGTTCCCAGAAGGTAATTTTCATAGATGTTTGCATTAGCTCCATAGCAAAATGGAATGGTACGTGACATTTAGGGTAGCTGATATTTTTATTTTGTTAAATAATTTCCAAGAATAGAGTATGGTGTATATTATAAATTTCTTTGATAAGATGTATTTTGAATGTCTTTTAATCTTCCTCCTCCTCTCCAAAAAAATCAGAAACCTCTTTAAGAAAACATGTAGGTTATATATGCTAGAATTGCATTTAATCACTGTGAAAAGACTGGTCAGCCTGCATTAGTATGACAGTAGGGGGGCTGTTAGAATTGCTGCTATACTGGTGGTATGGATTATCATGGCATTGGAATTTTCATAGTAATGCAGATCCAATTTCTTTGTGGTACCTGCAGTTTACAAAATAATTTGACTTCAGTGAGCATATTGGTATCTGGATGTTCCAATTTAGAACTAAACCATATTTATTACAAAAAGATATTAATCCCTCTACTCCCAGGTTCCCTTTATATGTTAAGATATAATGGCTTTGAGGGGGGAAAAAATAAACCTAGGGGAGAGGGGAGTTTCCTGTAGTGCTGTTTCATTAGAGGATTTCAGTAAATTAAATTCCACAGCTAATTCAATAAATAATGGTACATTTAAGTGTTCTGATTTTAATAATATATTTCACATTTATCCACACAGTAACAATGTAATATGTTAATGTAAATAAAATTGGTTTTGATACTCAGAAATAACAAGAATTTAATTTTTTAAATTTGTTTACAGTCCTGGGAAAAGTAAGAATTATTTGCCAAAATAAGAGGAAAGAAAACCTTAGTATTATTAATGAGTTTACCATAGAATTGTTGGAAATACTGAAGACAGGTGCAATTTACTAAACTTTTGTTTTTAAACTATTGTAGAGGCTGCATTAGAAGAAAATGTTTATAATGACAGAGCAACTATGACTATATAAAAAAGCTGAAATTAGAACTGTGTTTAGAAATAGATCAGTAACCCAGTGCCAAGGATGCCAAGCTGCCACCATGGTCTTGGCTCTCCCACAACCCAGTGTTTCTGGGGTAAGTTTCACAGTTTCTAGGCCCTGGAATAGCAGGCAGTGTAAGCCTTTGATAACTTTAGTTCGATGTTTTTCTTGTTTTTGTTTGTTGGTTTGGTGCATATGATAGTGGGTGTTATGCTATTTTGCTCTTCCCATCAAAATAAAGAAACTTCCAGAGGTTTACTGTTAAAAATACTGATATTTCCATAAACGGGTTTACCAAGGGTGTAGTATTTCATACCGCCTGAAATGATCAGCATTGGCACAAATCAAAATTCAGCCGCCTTTGAAATGCAAAAATACCTTTGACTAGTAAGTACATCCTAGGAGTTTGAAAACTTAACTAAGGTTTAAAATTTACCTTGTTTAAAGAACTTCTGACTTTTGAGGAAAATCTAGCTTTCCAAGTAACTAAAATGTACATGAGATAAACCTCTCACCACTATGTGTCCCTTGAGAAATGCAACACTTTTTTAGTCTTCATACTTGTAATCTATAAAAGAAATTCTGAAGTTTAGACCAAGTTGCCCATTTCTGCGTAATTGACATAAGTTCTGTTAAAAATATTATAAGTAATTCGTTTCGGTTTGTAGATGTTTCCCCTGACTTGTTAAAGAGGAAACCAGGAACTCAGTCATGTTTTTGTCCTGGATAATCTACCTGTTATGCCAGTACTCCCATCCGAGGGGCATGCCCTTAGTTGCCCAGATGGAGATGCAGTTCAGTAGATTTGGGGCAAAGTGGCTACAGCTCTGTCTTCCATTCACTCAACACCTGTTCATGACTGAGCCAGGTGCCCAGGACACATCCTAAACAGTCAGCTTCTATCCTGTGTCCTAGTCGGGGAGACAGAGTGCCAGCCAGCAACCCTCCCAGGTTTGTAGGTTTTAGGGGTTTTCAGTTTTGTTTGGGTTTTTTGTTTTTTGTTTTTGTTTCTACATCCTTCCCCGACTCCCAGGCATAATGAGGCATGTCTTACTCAATGTTATGCAATGGATTTAGGCAAAAATTCATTCTTAGTGTCAGCCACACAATTTTTTTTAATGCAGTATATTCACCTGTAAATAGTTTGTGTAAAATTTGACAAAAAAAGTATATTTACTATACTGTAAATATATGTGATGATATATTGTATTATTTTGCTTTTTTGTAAAGCAGTTAGTTGCTGCACATGGATAACAACAAAAATTTGATTATTCTCGTGTTAGTATTGTTAACTTCTTTTTGCGACTGCGTTACATCATTTAAAGAAAATGCTGTGTATTGTAAACTTAAATTGTATATGATAACTTACTGTCCTTTCCATCCGGGCCTAAACTTTGGCAGTTCCTTTGTCTACAACCTTGTTAATACTGTAAACAGTTGTACGCCAGCAGGAAAAATACTGCCCAACAGACAAAATCGATCATTGTAGGGGAAAATCATAGAAATCCATTTCAGATCTTTATTGTTCCTCACCCCATTTTCCTCCTTGTGTATGTACTTCCCCCACCCCCCTTTTTTTAAGTAAAATGTAAATTCAATCTGCTCTAAGATATGAGGAGTTATTTAATTTCTTCAGATGTATCGAGCTCTGTTTTCTTCCCCCCGAGTCCTCCCAATCTTTTGAAACATTAAGGCCATTTTCCTTAAGGATGTTTTTGGCTCTCCTACTCCCCGTGAGAAAGATCTTTCCATTTCCAGAACTTCTCCACACTAAAAGTGAAATATTTTTGTGAAATGCTTTTTTAGGGCCTGCCAAACTCAGGTGAGTCTGTTCTCTGGGATAAGCTGGCTTCTCTTAAAATGAAGCCAGTCAGAAATGTCAGGGCATCCCAAGATTGACCAGTCAGAGGGCAGTTCTCTCCAACTTTTCAGCTTTCCCGCTATAGAATCTTCTGTGACACTACACGTGTATACAATGTAAACCACCTCCCCTGGCTCAGCTGCCCCGTGTTACTATTTTACTTACTTGATTATGTGGGTTGCCTCCCCCAATCAGTGGAGAAAGAACACAGCCCAGACCCAGTGGACAGGACAGAGCTATCCTCAGAAGGGTAACAGTGTCTGATATTGAACAAAGGACTAAAAAAGACCAGGTGATAGATACCTGCAGGTCTGAGGCAAGTACTTGTCTGTTTATGGGCAGGCCTGGAAAGCAGGGGTACCTCACCTGGAGAGCTTGCTAATACACTGGTCCCCATCCTAATCCCCCAAGGTAAAGGCAAACTCTCCAAGGATGGGCTGTTGGGAGAAAGAGTGTGTGTTTAAACTTCTTAAGCGATTTTACGGAGCACTCAGTGGTTTAAAGACCATTGGAGTAGAGAACTGAAAACTCAAATACTGCAAATAGCTGCCTTTTCCCTGTAACCTAAAGCATCTTAGTCCAAACTAGGGGATGTTTTTAGGATAGTGACCCTCTAGATCAGAGCTCTCCCTTCCTGGACAACAAGCTCCCTGAGGACGTGGGCGACTTAGTACATCTTGTATGGGCCTCTCTGCCTGTTCTTTGCTTTGCTTTCTGGGACACCCTTAGGCTAGTCTAGCAATTCTGAACTGCCTGGCTTGAAGAGTTGATTCCCATGGGATGTTGAGGAGGGGCCAGAGGTTCTGGAAGAATAGTAAAAAACCTACAACCAAGTGGTAGCATCTCAGTATTCCTCTTCCACAAAGTAGCCCATCCCCCCCCATCACCAAGGGAAGCCCCTAGTGGTGGCAGGCATCTTGGGAATTTACCTTCATTACTAATTCTCCCTTGTCTACCAGTAGCACTTCTTAACCTGCTCACTGCCCATCAGAACAGCCTCCGACAAAGCTGCATCCAAATTCTTTAAAGGGCAATTCATTGCCCCAAGTAATCTGCCAAACCTGTCTTCATTTGGAAATCAGTCTTCATATTCAGGTGAGTTCCACTTAAGACCCTTTTAGCTGCCAATTTAAAAGAAGCCCTTTTGCAATGTTGATTATGTTTCTATAAATATTAGAACCAGCCGGGCGCGGTGGCTCACGCGTGTAATCCCAACACTGGAAGGCCAAGGCAGGCGGATCACTTGAAGTCGGGAGTTTGGGAAACATGGTGAAACCCCATCTCTACTAAAAATACAAAAATTAGCCGGCCATGGTGGCTTATGCCTATAGTCCCAGCTACCAGGAGGCTGAAGCAAGAGAATCACTTGAACCCGGGAGGTGGAGGTTTCAGTGAGCTGAGATTGCACTTCTGCACTACAGCCTGGGAGGTAGAGCCAGACATTGTCTTAAAAAAAAAAAAAAAAAAAAAAAATAGAACCATACTACAGCAGCATAGTCACTGTTGGTTTGAATCTCTCACATTTTGTTCTTTTAGAAGTGCTGCCTAATCATAAGTTTCATAAAGTAATGTGGAGTTATAATTTTAATCAGTTGGTTTGGCTTTTTTAAAAAATTGTCTTCTAAAAATCGGTTTATACTGTGTGTGTACATACATACTACATATGCATATGTGGATGCGTATTTCAGGTTTCCAAAACAGCTTGATACATTTTACCTACATTGGGCCAAATTATTTTGTCTTTTTAAATTTTCTCAAAAAGGTCATATTGCAAAATTATTCTAGGTCCTTTACTATGTCTTTATGCTGACAGTCAAGCTAATAGTGATCAAGAGCATTATGCTTCTGGGGTTACAAGGTTCAGAACTTGCCCCATTGGCCACTTCCTCTATATAAAATAAGACAGTCACATTGGAATCTTAATAGGGCCCTTTCCTGCTCAGAAGTTCAGAAAGCATTGCCTAAATTAATATTTTTAAGGGAAGAAAATGTTGACAGATGCAACCTTAGCTGATTGTTCAAAAAAAGTTTTTCCTTTGGTTATAATTGTAAATACAAAAGAAGAAAGCTTGGCCTTTGTCCTCTATGACCTCATGACTTAGTGGGGAAAACAGCCACACAAACAATGACCACAGTGTCCCAAGGTGTGGGTGGGGTTTTTAGAGGGTCATGGAGTGACTGGCATGGTTGGCAACTGAGGAGGTGGGTCTTAAAGAATGACCAAGAAGTTTGTCCAGGTTGAAATGTGTCCAGTGAGCAGTTGAAAATAGGGTTTTGGAGTATTTAATGGACAGAAGGTAATCAAGTCCGTTAACAGACTGGCCCAGAGACGGATCACGAGGTCAGGAGATCGAGACCATCCTGGCTAACACGGTGAAACCCCGTCTCTACTAAAAATACAAAAAATTAGCCAGGCATTGTGGTGGGCGCCTGTAGTCCCAGCTACACGGGAGGCTGAGGCAGGAGAATGGCATGAACCTGGGAGGCGGAGCTTGCAGTGAGTGAGATCGTGCCACTGCACTCCAGCCTGGGTGACAGAGCGAGACTCCATCTCAAAAAAAAAAAAAAAAAAAAAGAGAGAGAGACTGGCCCAGAGAGGGCAAGTAGCAGATAAGTGTTTAGGCAGAAAGCAGCACACCACAGGAGATTGGCTTCTCGTGTTATTTTTCTCCATTCTTTTGTCCCACGTTGGGGAATGCAGCTTAATTTTCTACATTTACAAAGTATATGGGCCAGGCGCAGTGGCTTACGCCTGTAATCCCAACACTTTGGGAGGCCGAGGTGGGCAGATTACCTGAGGTCAGGAGTTGGAGACCAGCCTGACCAACATGGAGAAACCCCATCTCTACTGAAAATACAAAATTAGCTGGACATGGTGGCACATGCCTGTAATCCCAGCTACTCGGGAGGCTGAGGCAGGAGAATCGCTTGAACCGGGAAGCAATGGTTGCAGTGAGCCGAGATCGCGCCATTGCACTCCAGCCTGGGCAACAAGAGCGAAACTCCGTCTCAAGAAAAAATAAAAACAAAAAATACGTGAAGATATGCCTTAGCCCCAGATCACAAAAATAGCAACACTTTTTCTATCCTGGCAATTATAAATGTTTTGAGTCTGGCCCAAAGTTGAAGTAGAAAGAAATTGATGGTAAAGAGATACTTTCTTTGCAATTTGGTAATTTGTGAATGGAAGGCAGAAAGGAATTAGGAGATCTGTGCCTTCATTAAAAAAGACTCCACAAATACCACCCTTACTCATATCTAGGATTCTACAGGAGACAAAAATTCATTATCAAAATACCAAGTCTTTTTGAGTGTGCAGCAGTCATTCAGCAAAACATTTTCTGGGTGCCTTGTTGTCACTCAATTTGAGCACCAGCACCTCTTGGAAATGCTTTCTGATCTCCCATTGGCTGAGAGCCCTTCTCTTGCTTCTGTGACAGCTTCTCTATACAACAACTTTGTAATCATCAACTATCTTCCTATGTCCCTGGTTAGGATTATGAGCCTCCCAGTGTAGGGAACATGCTTTGTTCAAAGGTGCTCAATAGATAGTTGTTGAATAACACTGAAGGCTTTATGTTATAAAGAACTATATAAATAGAATGGGAAAATCCCCATACACAATAGCAACCCCAATGCAAAATCCCTAACAAAATAGAGGTGACCTGTGTAATAAAGACCTATTGAAAATTCTAATCCAGACTTTGAGATTTCACAGATCAGTAAAATTTCCAAAATACATTTCATCAACTTATGCATTTAGAAACAAGAAAAAAATATATCTAACATAGTTTTTTTGTAAAACGCCATTTCAACTCTGAGTAGTGGGGGAGGGAATCACAGGATAAAGTACAGTTCTTTAAAAGAAATTAGTTTTGCTTTATAAAAGTCACTATGTTGTCCTCAGTTTTCTCTCATTGCTGCTTATTTTTCTCCACACAGCACTGCTCAGCACGCAGGCATGTGAGGAAGCTGGGCTTAAAGGAGACTCCAGCAAATGGAGAGACAGACCACAGTCCTGGGTTGGAAAGCTGAATATCGTTGAATGCCAGATCTTCCCAAATAAATGAACTGGCTTAATACAATTCTGATCAAGATGCCAACAAGAAGAGAGTGTATCCAGACAAAATGATCTTTGGAAAATATTCTTCACCTTGTGGAATAAACAGGAAAGCATGGCTAACAACGGGTTGTCGAAAACTTCCTTATTAGGTAGTAAAACAAATTTTTAAATGCTTAAATACTAATGGTAATTAGAGTAAATATAAAGTGGAACAGGCTAGAAGGTCCAGATTATGCTTTGATTTTTTTATTTAAAAAGACAAGCATGAGTAACTCCCAAAGTGTATTGGCTTCAAAGCCACAAAAGCTTATTTCTCACCTCTGCTACATGTCCATCACCCGTTATCAGGAGGCTCTGCTCACCCTGATGTCTTGGGACTCCAGAGTGAGTGATCAGCCATCTCTGATCACTCACTCATTTGATCTACAAATGGCTAGCCATCATGCCAGAGGGAAGGAGCTCAGGCTGTAATGTCCAGCCGCTGTGATGATGGAAATGTTCTGCTGGAAGCTGAAACAGAGGGGTCCCATTTTCATTTGTCACATTAGCAAAGACGTACTTAACTAATATTGGTGCCAGTCCAGAATGTGGTGCAATGAGTTCTTCCTGCACTTGGCCTCATCTTTCTGTATTACCAGTTCCATATCTGCACTGTCCAGGACAGTGGCCACTAGCCACATGTGGCCATTGAACACTTGAAATGTGGTTAGTGAGAATGGGAAACTAAACTTTTATATTAAATAAATGTAAATAGTTACATGTGGCTACTGGCTGCTAGATTGGACAGAGCAGCATCTGGAAGCTCTTGCATCAGCAATTAAAGGCTTGAGGACAGATACACAGTCACTTTTCACAGTCATTGCCAGAACTTGACACACAGCTTCACAAAGTCACAAGGGTCAAAAATCACTATCTTCCTCTGTTCAAAAGGGAAAGAGCTGGAAACATTGGCCAAGAACATTAATGACTCCTACAATAGGGAAGGACTTTGTAAGCTTAAAAGCAGTGTAAGTGCAGTGGCTCACGCCTGTAATCCTAGCACTTCAGGAGGCCGAGGCGGGTGGATTGCCTGAGCTCAGGAGTTCAAGACCAGCCTGGGCAACATGGGCCTCTCTACCAAAATACAATACGTTCTCGGGCGTGGCGGCATGTGCCTGTAATCCCAGCTGCTCAGGAGGCTGAGATAGGAGAATTGCTTGAACCCGGGAGGCGGAGGTTGCAGCGAGCTGAGATTGTGCCATTGCATTCCAGCCTGGGTGACAGAGCAGGACTCCGTCTCAAAAAAAAAAAAAAAAAAGCAGTGTAAGCTTAAAAGCAGAAATCCTAAGGGTCCCGCATTGACTGCCTAACATTAAAATGTCCCCATGTCCAAAAAAATCACACACAAAATTAAAAGGCCAACCAATAGGGAATTATAAAGAGTTCATAAAAACTCATCTAAAGAAAAAACCTAAGCAGAAAGAAAAATGGGCAAAGAACATGAATGGCCAATCCACAGAAATATTGTACCAACTCCTGTTTATGATGGAAAAGGTCATCACACTCATTAGTAAACAAAAAGAAATACAAACTGAAACAATGGGATACCTGATACATATTTTCACTTGTCACATTAGCAAAGACACTTAACTAATACTTGGTGCAGGTCAAGAATGTGGTGCGATGAGTTCTTCCTGCAGGTGGCCTCATCTCTCTGTATTACCAGCCTTAAAAATGTCCATACTGGCTGGGCGTGGTGGCTTATGCCTGTAAGCCTAGCACTTCAGGAGGCTGAGGCAGGTGGATCAGCTGAGGTCGTGAGTTTGAGACCAGCCTGACCAACATGGAGAAACCCCCGTCTCTACTAAAAATACAAAATTAGCCGGGCGTGGTGGTGCATGCCTGTTAATCCCAGCTACTCAGGAGGCTGAGGCAGAAGAATCACTTGAACCCGGGAGGCGGAGGCTGTGGTGAGCTGAGATTGCGCCATTGCACTCCAGTCTGGGCAACAAGAGCGAAACTCCGTCTCAAAAAAAAAAAAAAAAAAAAAAAGTCCATACCATTCGCCCTAGTAATTATCTAGGAATCTATTCTGGAGAAACAAATGGTAAAAGAGTGAAGACTTTCATCAAAGTATTATAATATCAGAAAACCTGAAGACAACCAAAATATTGGTTAAATTATCTACATTCATCCAGCACTTTCTGGAAGCTGACCACTTCCTTATGCAGCCTTTAAAAATGGCCTAATAATATTTAAATTTTGGGAGGGAACTTCCAATAAAATCAAGAGTTTTAAAACCACATAAGAGGGCTAATTCCCAATTATGTAAATACAAATATATGTGTATAGTTTTTGCATAGGATAAAGAAAAGGAAATGTATTGAATGTTAACAATATGTATGGCTCACTTACTCCTTTTTGTGTCTATCTTCTAAGCATTTTACAATGATTATTGCTTTGAAAACAAAAAGGGTTTTAAGAGATGAGGATAATGCTTACTTTTAATTGTACTAAAAAGGATGTTTATGATAGCAGAGTTTAGGTATTACATTAACTACCACCTCTTGGATGTTTTTACCTTTATCTTTTTCCTTTTATCAAAAGGTAGCTCTTTACTAATTCGGATTACAGGGAGCTGGGTTTGTTTTCCTTCCTTAGGGGAGTATCAGCATAACTAGTTTAGAGTGGTGCAGGTGAACTGCTGTCAACTCCGTAGGCCAACCCTAAACCTTCACTGTTATTTTATAACTTCTACTCAACAGCTTGCAACCTTTCAAGGTTAACAAGGTTGATGGGGAATGGTCCTTGCTCTCAAGAAGCTCGTAGGCGGCCAGGCACTGTGGCTTATGCCTGTAATCCCAGCATTTTGGGAAGCTGAGGCAGGTGGATCACCTGAGGTCAAGAGTTCAAGACCAGCCTGGCCAACATGGTGAAACCCCGTCTCTACTGCAAATACAAAAAATTAGTAGCCGGGCGTGGTGGCTCACGCCTGTAATCCCAACACTTTGGTAGGCCGAGGCGAGTGGATCACCTGAGGTCGGGAGTTCGGGACCAGCCTGACCAACACGGAGAAACCCTGTCTCTACTAAAAGTACAAAATTAGCCAGGGATGGTGGCATGTGCCTGTAATCCCAGCTATTTGGGAGGCTAAGGCACAAGAATCGCTTTGAACCTGGGAGACAGAGGTTGCAGTGAGCTGAGATCGCACCATTGCACTCCCGCCTGGGCAACAAGAGCGAAACTCCATCTAAAAAAAAAAAAAAAAAAAAAAAAAAAAAAGCCAGGCATGGTGACAGGCACCTTGTAATCCCAGCTACTCGGGAGGCTGAGGCAGGAGAATCGCTTGAACACTGCAGAGGTTGCAGTGAGCTGAGGTCACGCCATTGCACTGCAGCCTAGGCAACGAGAGTGAGACTCCATCTCAAAAAAAAAAGAAATACATGGTGAAGGATGTGCACATTTAACTATAATTCAGTCATTTTCCTCACCTCTTTTGGCTTCCAGGCACCTGTTCCCGCTCCTCCTATGGCTCTGACAGCACTTCCTTCACCTGCCTCTTAACTCTCGGCTCTTGACCCTGTGTCTGTTTTCCTAATCTTGGAATGATCCCATCATCCCTGAGAAGACATCTGGGCGCCCTGGCCAGGGGAGACAGCTGATGGGCAGAGCATCCCTGTGTGTGCATCACGAACACACTGTAGAGTGCAAAGTTCTGTGAGGGCAGAGCAGTAAGGGCAGCTGACTCAGGGAAGGCTTCTTGGAGGGGGTGGCATTTGAAGGATGGCAGTGGGGGTGGTGGAGGGAGGACAATCCAGGCAGAGGGAACAGCATATGCAAGGCAAGCCAGGCATTTCACTGATCAATTCCATGTTGAGTCACTGTCTTGGAGTCTATGCCACACAATGCCTGGGATATAGTAAGTGCTCAATAAATGTAAACTGAGTATAGTAGATGATGTTACTGCCCAGCCATGTTTTACAGAATGGAGAGCATCAGGCTGTAAAGGGCCTTCCTGCTTGCCGCTCACCCTGAGGATTGAGTTTTTCTTTTAGGCAGAAGTGGGCAGTAGAGAAGGCTCAAAGCCAGGGAATGTGAGTGGATTTGACTCACCAAGGACACTGCTTCCTAAGCCAGGAGGGAAATATTGGTGCCCTGCCTGGAAGTTAGTTTCAGGGGCCATTTCTGCAGCTGACAGAAGGATCTGGAGCCCAGTTGGGTAGAATAAGTTAGGTTTTGGCATTTCTTCTTAGAATCCCGGAAGGAATTTTAGCAATCAGCCGGTCCTGCTTCTAAGGGTCAGAGAAGATCCTGGATACCCCTCACATCAACAGCTCATGCAGCAGAGGAAAGATGAGGTCTCAAGGTGCCCCCCTGCACCCCAAGTGTGCCCTAGTCCAGCCAGGGTCCTCAGCACTCCACAGGCAGGGCTGGCTGTGTCTCCAAGCAGGGGCCTCTCTGCTTTTGCTCACAGAAACATATTCTGGGATCAGTGAAGAAGGAAAATAAGTTCACGGCACCTTCTTCCCCTTCAAAGTGATAATTATTCATGGGTTTAAAAAAACCCAGCAGGTTGTGAACAGGAAGTAACTGAATCCTGCCCCATTTCCAGACAACATGGACAATGAAGTCAAGGCTCACAGATGAAAATACAGAAATGTTCCCCCTTTTAGACTGGTTCTAAACTGCTCCATACTGACACACATAATCACCACCCAGGTGCCAGGTACTGTGCCAAGCGCTGGGCGAGGCATGACGCAATCTTTTTTAAATTAAAAGCCTGAAGGACCTCTACAAGGTAGAAAAACTGAAGCTTAGAGAAATTAACCTGACCAGAGTCATGGGGCTAAAAGAGCAACAGATGTTGGTGCCCAGCTCAGCTGTTTTGAATTCCAAAGCCTGGCTCTTCATAATCTTTGATAACTTCCACATGATATTCATCCCATCTGTATTCATTTCTCATGGCTGCTGTGCTAGCTCCCACAAACTTGGTGGCTTAAAACACCAGAAATTTATTCTGTAACAGTTCTGGAGGCCAGAAGGCCAAAATCCAGGCATCAGCAGGGCTGTGGGCCCTTCAGAGGCTCTGGGAGGGATTCTGCTCCTTGCCTCTTCTGATGGCTGCTGTTGCTCCTTGGCTTATGGCTGCACCACTCCAATCTCTGCCTCTGTGGTCACATTACCCTCTCTTTATGTGTCAAATCTGCCTCTGATCCATCCTATAGATATGTGTGATTGCATTAAGGGTCCACCTAGCTAACCCAGAATAACCCCCCTGTCTCCAGATCCTGTTGTTTTTTTTGTTGTTAGTTTTTTTTTTGTTTTTTTTTTTTTTGGAGGCAGGGTCTCACTCTTGTCACCCAGGCTGGACTGTAGTGGCATGATCTGGGCTCACGGCAACCTCCACCTCCTTGGCTCAAGCCATCCTCCTGCCTCAGCCTCCTGAGTAGTTGAGACTACAGATACATGCCACGATGCCCAACTAATTTTTGTATTTTTTAGTAGAGACAGGATTTCATCACATTGCCTAGGCTGGTCTCGAATTACTGGACTGAAGCAATCTGCCTGCCTCAGCCTCCCAAAGTGCTAGGATTACAGGCGTGAGCCACCACGCCCAGCCTCCAGATCCTTAATTACATCTGCAAAGACCCTTTTTCTAATGAGGTAACATTTACAGCAGGGGTCCCAACGCCCAGACTGCAGACCATTACCAGTTCATGGCCTGTTAGGAACCACAGCAGGAGGTGAGCGCCGGGTGAGTGGGCATTACCGCCTGAGCTCCACCTTCCGTCAGATCAGTGGCATTAGATTCTCATAGAAGCGGGAACCCTATTGTGAATGGCGCAGGAGGGGGATCTAGGTTGCGCACCCCTTATGAGAATCTGAAGCCTGATGATCTAAGTTGGAACAGTTTCATCCCAAGACCCTCTTCCCCCGACTTGTATGAAACCAGTCCCTGGTGCCAAAAAAGGTTGGGGACCACTGATGTACAGGGATTGGAATATAGATATCATTTAAGGGGGCATTTTTCAGCCTACCATGCCATATTTGTCCATTCCTTAATTTATTCCTACACAGACCCTAACTATGTGTGTATGGGCATTATTTAGGAGCTACAGAAATCAGGAGAGAAATAGACACAGTCCCTGCTCCCAGGGACCTCATGGTCACTCCTGTGACCTTTCATACAGTTTCCCAGATAATCCGGTGATAGACAATAGGAGTAAGATGGTAAGGATAGTCACAAGGACAATAGCTGTCACTAACCAGCAGCACTGTTCTGACACTTACAATGTATGTATTAACTTACTGACTCTCACCACAGCCTTATCCATACCTGTAAGTGGGCTGCAGTCTGTACTTTTCACTTCTCTGCAGGAGCACATGGGAGAGGTGGTCAAGGTGGGCAAGGAGTGGGGTGGTCATGAAAGGCTTCCGGTAGGAAGTGCCACTTCCACAACACAAGGACAGGAATTAGAGAAAGTGGAATTGGGTGGGGGTAGGATTGAGACCTCCCACCCACTAAGCAAAGGGAGGCAGGAGGGAGCCTGGATGCTCCCAGACTAGGGTTAAGGAGAGGCAGGAGAGTATGAAGACACTGCACAATGCCAGCTCAGGCAATGGTGGCCATTGAGTTTTCAGCAGGGGAGGGACCTGATCAAACTTGTTTCTTCCTAGAGAAGGGGCCGGAGTCCCAACTGTCCCTTCCATGTATATTTCCCAGTATATTTCCAGCCTGCCCAGGCTGCTGCAGCTGTTGGAAATCCCCTGGAGAATCAGAGGTCACCTGGAGGAAGCGGAGGACAGAAAGGAGGCTCCGCGCCTTCCCGCCCTATCCATGGGGACCTCTTGCTTTCCTGGAGCAACCCCCTTCACCCTGCAGCCGGCCCTGACATGGGTATTCTCTTGCTGCTTCTGCTCGGGGCTGCACTCTGAGCTCTTGGATCAGGGTTTTGGGAGCCCTAGTGGTCCCAGGTCCACTTCCAAGGACCCAAGGACTCCATAAATTGCACCATCTCTGAGGGACCTTTGGGTAGGCACTCAGCCATTTCTGCAGGCCCTCTTGGGCTCCTAGAGCCTGGCACCTCAGTGTAGATCACACTGGGCCATGACTGCCCCCATCAAGTTCAGCAAGTGGCTGCACCCCTTTCACTGTCTCCCTAGCATACCCAACACAACGTAGGTGCTCAACAAAAACGTGACAACCCCAGAAAGAATGCCTGTGACGTGCTTTGCTGGCCCCAGCAGCACAGCGGTGAGCAAGAGACCCAGTGCCACTGGTGGGGGAGGCAGGTGTCCTTCAAACCATCGCCCACCAGAGACAAAACTGCAGAGACCTGGGCAAGGAGAGTCCGGTCAGGGAAAGCTCTCCTGGGGGATTTTTGAATTTGTGATGATCCTGTCTTTGACAAGAACTGGCTAATCTGGTTGCGGGATTCTGTCTTGGTTCACTTGGGATTTGTTCATGCTCAGGTCTGAGGTCCCCGCCTCTGCCAGCTGAAGTGGGTGAGTCTTCCAGCTCCCCTGTCCCCAGTTAGGGGGCATTCAATGCCAGGCTGAGCGCGGAGAGCCATTTCTGCAGCCCCCACCAGGGGGCAGCCCCAGCTCCTGGCCATCTCCTTTCTGTGCTGAGCCCCTTGGGTGAGAGAAAATGGCACGAGCTGACCTTGGACGAACTAATATCGGGGTCCCAGGGGCAGGCAGCAGCCCCCAGCTTCCACTCCCTACCTCCTTGCCAGGGGGCTGGCTGGATCTCCAGCAGCCAGTCTCTCCCAGCCAGCTGCTTGTCCTTATTCTCCACTTCCACCTCCATTTTGCAGGGTAGGTCGGGGGAAAGCAGCATTGCTTAGATTCGCTCTCATCTTCAGTTGCCCTAAAAGGAAGGTACTATTATCCTCACGGTACAGGCGAGGAAACCGGCTAAAATATGCTAGTATCCTGCTGAGCGGCATCCAGCTAGCAGAGACGCTCCTACTCAGCCGAATACCCCTACTCCACTCCCACGGCCTCCCCTTTCCCGCTTTCTCACATTTCGGACTCCTCAATCCTCAGAACCACAGGTCTCTCTTCCCAAGAGGTGTTGCCTTTCGTGGCTCTCAGACGAACTGAAGGGTCAAAGGAGAGTAGCTAAAAGCCAGGTTCATCCCAGGAGCCGGGGCTGGAAAGAAGAGGTCCCCGCCCACTGTCAGAAGGCAAATGGCAGTCCCTGCGCAGGATATATTCAGGGTTGAGCAGGAAGACCACAGAGGTACAAACCGAGGCCCAGCTAGGGGAGGCCATGCAGTTCACCCCGTACTCCCTGTCTGCGCCACTACGTTGCTCCCGGCTCCTCACATAATGGGCGGGCCCATCCCCTCTGGGTGGGGCTTCCTCTGGGCCCACTCTTGCCTGGAGATCAGGGACTTGAAGGTAATTAAGACATATCTTGCCCTGGAGGGCTTCCCAGCATGGTAGGGGAAATGGGCATCCCACTAGAGAATTAAGAATTAACTGGGCACCTGGAAGAAGGGCTTAGAACTCAGAATAGAAGATAAGATGGCGTGCCATCAGAGAAGCCTTCCCGGAGGAGGAAACCTCTGTGCTGAGCATGACAGCATAGGTGGGAGTAGACTCAGCCAAGGCCTTTTTTTGGGTTGGGGCCAGTCGTTGCCACAAAGACCTGATGTGCCGAGCAAGAAGGTGGAGAGAAGAGCCCGGCCGGGTCCTGCAGGGCCCCGAGGCTGGGCTGGGAAGTTAGCACAAGCTGGGGTGGAGGCTCCGCTGAGCACTAATGGGAGGAGGCCAGGGTCCTGACCTAGAGCCTGCGGCCAGCGGGACAGAGATTCTGTCCTGGATTCTCTGAGCTTGGGGCATGCGGGCTGCCAGGGAGGTGTGATGGTGGGAACCCGGCGAAAGGGAGGAAGCCTCTTCCAGGCGTGGAGCAGCCTTGGGCCCTGAACAGGCAGGCCTCTGGAAGCGCCTCGCTTTTCCTCCCTCCGGCCTCATCCTGGTTTTCTCCTCATCTCCCCGTCGCAGGGTCCCGGGTCCAGGCTGGGGTTCAGTTGCCTGCTCCTCCTCTCTGTGCCCTCCCCCGCCCGATGGCCCCACAAGTGCTGTCTTGCAGGAGAGCGCCGGGAGACCGCAGGGCGGAGGTGAAGAACGGAGTCCAGAGCCCTCCAGAGATGGCAGCGAATCCCGGCCCTGCCTCTTGCCAGCTGTGTGGCCTAGAGTGAGTCCGACCTCTCTGGGCCTCAGCTTCCTCCGGGATGAATGCAGTCACGGAACGCGCCAATGCAGGAGGCCCCCAGGACATCCTGAGCGCTCGGGAGACGCCAGGCGCGGCAGCGGGCACGGATAGCGGAAAGGGGCGCGACCCCGCGGAATCCTCCGGCAGGGCAGGGCCTTTGGGTGGCTCCGGGTGTCCAGAGGAAGGGGTGGGCTCGGGGACGCGGAGGGAAACTGGGGACGCGGAGGGAAACTGAGGTCGCGGAGGACGCGGCCGTTGGCAGCTCGCTGCGCCTGCCGGCCCCGCGTGGGCCGCCCCACTCGGGAGGACGCGGGCTCCTTTTGTCTGCAGCGTCCCCGCCGCCGCCGCCCCCGCCGCCTCCCCCTCTCCCTCCCATTTTCGCCGCGGCCCCCGCCCCTCCCCTCCCCGCCCCCTATTGCCCCTCCTCCTTCCCCTCCCCACTCTTCTCCTTCCCTCCCCTCCCCTCCCTTCCCCTCCGGAGCGGCTGGGGCTGCGGCGCCGCTGCTGACACGGATCGGCCGCGGCCGCCACCGGGCGGAGGCTGCGCGGCGCAGACCCAGACGGGCGGCCCCGGAGGGCGCGCGGCGATGGCGGCGGCGGGCAGGCGGCGGGCGCGGCGGGCGAGGGGTCCGGGCTGAGCTGCGGGCCGGCCCGGATGGCGGGCGGCGCGGGCTGGTCGGGCGCCCCCGCGGCTCTGCTGCGCTCCGTGCGCCGCCTGCGCGAGGTGTTCGAGGTGTGCGGCCGCGACCCCGACGGCTTCCTGCGCGTGGAGCGCGTCGCGGCGCTCGGACTGCGCTTCGGCCAGGGCGAGGAGGTAAGCTGGCCCGACCCCAGTCCCGGCCCGGGGACCCCAGCCCAGCCCCGCCGCCCCTCCCCCAGCTCCCCCGCCGGGTCACCCGCGTGGCCCGAGGCGGTGGCCTCCCTCCCAATCCCCTCCCTCCGCCGGAGCCCAGGACCTCGGCCCCCCCCGGGTATCCCTGGCCCAGCCGGGCCCTCGCTTTCCGCCCCCCGGCGCCCGTGCCCCGAGCGTCACGCGTCACGCCTAGGGTGGCTTCTGCGCCCACCTTCCTTCCTCGGCCATGCAGGTCCTTCTGAGCGGTCTGCACATCCACCCTTGTCTGGGGGAGAGAGCTGCCAGAATCCGGCCCTAGGCTCCCCACCCCACCCGGCGCTGCGGAGACCAAGATGCAAGGGTCTGTGTACGTCCTGCTGGGCCGGGCCAGGGGGTGAAAGGGACCGGTAGGGGTGCTCTGCAGCCTTGGCTCCTCGGCTGCACACACCCTGCCCAGACACGGAAGGAGGTGTCTGCTGGGGCCACCGTGTACTCCCGGGCCAGTGTCGGGTGACCTCTCATTCAGGCTCTGCTGGGCAGCCAGGCTGGCAGCTGGCTGTGTTGGTTGCAGCAGGCCAGGCAAAGCCAGGCTCGGGGAGTGGTGGCTGAGCAGAGGGCTTTCATGTGGCGGGGCCGCATCTATTTGGGGAAAGCAGGACTTACGTAGATTGTTAACAGGGCTGGAAGCGGAGGGTCGGTGCCGCCAGTAGGGTGGACGGAGTCATATCACTAAACGCACACTACACCAGTGTCCTCTGGTGCCACCGGCATGGGGACTGGGGACTGTGTCTCAAGGGGAGGACAAGACACCCACCTGGCTGAAATGGTCAGGGGTTTCCCCTGGAGCCAAAAGCCCTGAGAAGTGGGTTTCCAAGGCCATCTAAGGCCTCAGGCCCTGCATGGGGGGCCTGGGGCCATGGGCCTCAAATGGGCACTGGCTGGCATTGTGTTCCCAGAACAGGTCGGACCAGGCATTTCAGAACATGGGAGAAGCTGGGTGATGGCCAGGTTGGGCCCGTGCCTCTGCGTCACCAGAGAGTGGGAGGCGATTGAGAATCATCTCTCCACCCGCACCTGGGCATGGGCCGGGACTTGTGAGTCGCTGAGAGCTGTGGGCAGAAGAGAGTGAGGCAGCTTCAGGGCTTGAGAACTCAGGTACCCACCACAGGAAAGACCACTGCAGTGCCTGTGAGAGCCCAGACTGCCCTCTGCGGGGCTTTGCTGAGGGACACTGCCTGCTGCCACCATGACCCTTCTTCCCCAAAGGCCAGCCAAGCCCTTCCGTTTTTCCAGTGGCTCCCATCTGGGGCAGGCTGAGCAGACTCCTGGCATGGGGATAGTCGCGCTCCTTCCTCTCAGAACACAGACTGCAGGTCGGGTAAAGAAGCTACCAGCTCTGGCTGAAACCTGGAGTCCCCGAACTCAGAGCCTCAGTAGTGGGAAGGGCCTCCCAACAACCTCTGGCAGGGGCCACCGGCCTCAGCCACGTGCCCAGCAAGCCTCACCCACTTCTCCCCCAGCTGGACAGTTCCTGCCATTAGAACCTTCTCCCTCATACACTCTAGAGACAGACCTGCTTGTCACTTAGTCATCACCGTTCTGCACGGGGACTCACATAGGTCTCTCTTCTTTGGGGGAGCCTTTAAATATTTGAAAATAGCACTCCTGCCCCTTCTCTCCTTCCCAGCTCCATACTCCCATTTTCCCTTCTCCAGGCCAAATACCCCAGTTCCTGAAGCCCTAGGCCATTTCCATGTGACCCAGTAGCCAGACCTCTGGCTTCTGGCCTTGGAGCTGCCATCGACTAATTCTGTGATTCAGTTTTCCTAGCAATAACATGAAAGGGCTGGACAAGCAGACCGCCCCCCGCCGCCCCCACCAGGACTATATTAGCCCCAAGACCTCACACATATGCACACAGCTTAGGGTGGGGCTGCCTCTGAATGGGGCACTGCACTCTGCTTATATTAAGTTTCTGGCCACCGAAACCTCCAGGGATCTGTTTTAGAAACCTCTGCCAAGCCAGGGATTCTCCACCCTTCGGGGAGGGTCAGTGATTTTTTTCTTTTAAAAGCATACTCTGAGATTACTACAGAAGCGGTGGATATGCATTGCAGAAAACTGGAAATAGGGACAAGCAAAATAAAAAGTATTGTGTCCTATCTCTCAGGCAGCGCCTCAATGACACTTCTGTCAGACCTTTCCAGAGCTGTTTCCATGCTTATATGTCAATTTTCTCCAGAAAATGAGATCATACTGTGCATACTGTTTTGTAACCTGATTTTTTTTGCCGGTAAATGATCATGACTTTTCTGCTTCAATAAATTTTCATCTGGTTTAATATGCAGACCTTTTTCAGATTTCCCTATTTGACCCCAAAATGTCCATTTTTGCTGTTTCCTCTCCAGGACTGTGCAGTGTATGTGGTTGTTGTCACCTTTTAGTCTCTCTTACTGTACACAATTCCTTTTTCTTTTCTTTTCTTTTCTTTTTTCTTTTAACAATCCTGGCTTGTGGAAGCATTCGGGCCTGTTGTCTGTCAGTAATTTCTGGAATCTAAGCCTGTTTCTTGGCCCTTATTCCCATTTAATTTCGTCTTGTTCATTTCATCACATTGTATCTGTCAAGAAAGAGAATCTAGCATCCTACCTCTATCACTCTCAGCTGTGCTGCTGCCTGCGGGCTGGAGAAGCAGTGCTTGGTGTGTCTGAATCCACAAGGCTGGTTAAACATTGCAGGGCAGGACCATGGACAGGGCCCCGAGGCACTTGTAGGGGTGGTTTTCGGCTTATGCTGTATTGACCGAGACCCGTGGAAATATATTTTGCATCTCTACTCACTACCCATCTTATCCCCTGATGCATTAAAAAATCGGAGTGTTGTTTTCCAGCGGTGGGGTGGCGGGGGGCGGGGGGGGGGGGCTCCCTTACGAAATGCAGTGTACTCTGACTGTTTCTATTTTATTTGTTTTAAAATCAGGCAGTGACATTGATTTCCCAGCCACTTGTGCTCTGGGATGGATAATGATCATTCATTAGATATGTAGTTCAGTGAACTTAGAGCTGATTGTCCACAGTTTACCACCTACCCCCAGAATACCAGGGATACCAGGATCAAATGCTTTGCAAAAACCAAAATATACTAGGTCATAAAGTATGAAATAAATATCCATGAGGCCATAATGAAATATATATATGTATAAATTATTGAACAGATGATAATAAATAAATAGGAAAATCTCTCGTATAGAAGAAATCTGAATAACGTATGTTGATAATTGCCCCATTGAGGAAGTGAAGCATAACGTCCCACCGTGTAAGCATGAGATGTGCGTAGTGGCTTCCTTATAAAGGGTAGAGTTTGGAAAGTGGGGGGAACAGCAACTGTATAGTGGAGAAACCCAACAAACACTGTCTCAGAAGGTGATCAAGGACAACATCGATAGTGACAGATTGTGATGATGGCATACACCCTTGGTGTGATGTGGTGAGAATAGAACTTTTCCTCTGTGGTCTTCCTCCCAAACCAGTAATCCCAGTCTAGTCCTGAGAAAAATGCCAGACAAATCCCATCCGAGAGGCATTCTACAAAATGCCTGATTAGGACCTCTCAAAATTGTCAAGGTCATCCAAAACAAGGAAATTTTGAGACACTGTCAGAGCCAAGTGGAGACTAAGGAGGCAGCTGACTAAATGCAGTGTGGTGTCCTGGATGGGACCCTAGAATCAAGAAGAGGACATTAGGTAAAAACTAAGGAAGTCAGGATCAAGTATGAATGTTACTTAATAATGTTATTTATGGATTAGGTTAGTCCCTGATAGTTCCCTACTTTGTTGACCTAGGTATCACAGCAGAAAAGAGGAGACAATGGGCCGGGCGTGGTGGCTCATGCCGGTAATCCTAACACTTTGGGAGGCTGAGGTGGGAGGATCACTGGAGCTCAGGAGTTCCACACCAGCCTGGGTAACATGGTGAGACCCCCCATCTCTACAAAAAATACAAAAATTAGCCCGGTGTAGTGGCGTGCACCTGTAATCCCAGCTAGTTGGGAGACTGAGGCAGGAGAATCGCTTCAACCTGGGAGGCGGAGGTTGCAGTGAGCTGAGATTACATCGCTGCACTCTAGCCTGGGTGACAGAGTGAGACCCTGCCACAAAAAAAAAAAAAAGAAAAGAAAAGAAAAGAAAAGAAAGAAATGCAGATTTTTGAGGGATGGGGGCACACCACTGCCCTGATCCTGAAAGTCTACAATGCCAGGGAGCAGGACTCTGATAAGTATGTAACATGATGGCTCAACATCCTGACCCTGTGTTGCCTTCTGATATATTGCATTGTCTCCCTAACCTCTTTAGGCCTCTATTTACTCATCCATCAAATGGGGCTGATCAGAGTCCCCATTCTATAGGGTTATTGTGGGGTTTGAGTGAGTTAATACATACAAAGGGCTTAGTCCAGTATCTGCACAGAGTAGGCATAATATCAGAATTGCTGGTGCTCTCCTTGTCATTATTATTATTTTCTAAACACTTGCAAGCATTTTTGAGAGGCTGTTCTAGGCTGGAGATTTGCTAGGAATTGAGGTCAAGATCTGGCACCGGCCTCTGTGTGCTCAACTCACCCTCCTTAACCAGCTGTGGTGTTCCTGCCCCTCTTACGTCCCCTCGGCAGTCAGAATGGTAGACATTGAAAGCAGCCAGAGATGTCCTGGACCACACTTCCCTGTGACATGGTCCTCTTCCCTTTCCAGTTTGAAGACCGTCCTTCTTGCTAGAAAAATAGAAATAAGAATCACCAAGTAGGCCTCTCCCATGCATTAACACAGCACCATCTCCTCTGGACAGTGGGCCTGTCCTGCCTGCTTGGAAATGAAATGATGGTCCCCACTGGGCTCCCTGAGTCCTCAGGTCCCCTCTGAGCTAATGCCTGCTATGGGGGAATTGCTAGTGCCACTTGGGTTAAGCCTGGGTCTTTGAAATGGCAAAGGGGTTGGGGTGCTAGGATGGGCTGAGACCGGCCAGGAGCCAGCCCTGGGGCTGGGATCGATGTCTTTTGAGATACGTGGCTTCCAGGAACAGGAGCACCTGGAACTAAAGCTCCTCTGCTCAGGAGTAGCAATTGGATAACAGGGAAGAAACAACTGTATCCCCACAGCTGTGGCTGGAGGAAGGGGTGAAGGGGAAGGTAGGGCCAGATCAGTGGTTCCCTGTAGGCAGTGAGACCTAGGCAGCCAAGAGTGGATGTGTATGAGAGAACAGGGGATGGGGAGCAGGATTGGAGGCAGGAGGCCTCCTCGGGACTGTGGCACATGGTAAGAGAGGAAGAGCATCCTAACTTGGGCAGTGGCGGGGGGTGCAGAATTGACAGGGGCCTGGAAGGCCGGCAAAGTCCCAACGAGCTACTCCCAAAAGGTGATAGTTAAAGGTGCTCTTTTGAGACCAGGCAACCTCTATGTGCCCCACCCTAATGAGGCTACCATGCAGAGTGACAAGGCTGGCACATCAGAAGGAAGGCCCAGGTGCCCTGAGCCTGGCAGAAAAGGTGGGAGTGCCTGGGACCTGAGGTGGAAGCAGGACAAGAGTGAGCCCAGAGAGATGTTCTCTTTCCTATGCTTCTGGGAAACTGTGCTCCTGAGGTTGGAGGTCATCATGGAAGTGGGGCCAGGGCTGGGGATCCCTTGGGGCCTGGGGATGGGCATGTGGCACCACACTCTGCATTGAGGCGGGAGGACGAGTCCTAGCTGGGGCACCCTCTGGCCTCTTGTGCCCACCAGTTTGGCTGTGCTGGGAGGAGGCCAGATGCAGAAAGTCTGCTGGGACTCATCCATCTTATCAGACACGCCCCTGCCTTTTTTTTTTTTTTTAATTGAAACAGGCTCTCGCTTTGTAGCTCAGGCTGGAGTTCAGGGGTGCATCATGGCTCACTGCAGCCTCGAGCTCTTGGGCTCAAACCGTCCTCCTGCCCCAGCCTCCCAAGTAGCTGGCACTGCAAGTATATGCCACCATGCTCAGCTAATTTTTTGTCAGACACTTTTTTTTTTTGAGACGGAGTCTCACTCTGTCACCCAGGCTGGAGTGCAGTGGCTCGTTGCAACCTCCAACTCCGGGGTTCAAGCGATTCTCTCACCTCAGCCTCCCGAGTAGCTGGGATTACAGCCATGTGCCACCACGCCCAGCTAATTTTTTGTATTTTTAGTAGAGACAGGGTTTTGCCATGTTGGCCAGGCTGGTCTTTTAACTCCTGACCTCTGGTGATCCACTGCCTGAGCCTCCCAAGGTGCTGGGATTACAGGCGTGAGCCACCACAGCTGGCCTGTCAGACACTCTTGACGAAGCCTGAATCCATTTGGCAAAACCTTGCTGAGTTCCAGCGTCATTCCCAAGACACTGGAGTTCTAGAGAAGGAGGAAATGCCAGCGTTGAGAGACCGTGCCATGGGGGGTGGGGGGTGTGATCCCTGCCTCCATTGGTGAGACCTGAATGGGGGACATATAGACCTGAGTAGGGGGAAGAATCAGCCCTTCCCATCAGCAAGACGTGCCCTCCGAGGGATATCAGTGGGTAGAGAACCTTGAACCATCCACAAGCTTCCCTTATGGGCGTCCAGCCCATGAAGTGTGACGTTCCCCCTTGTACAGGTGGGTCACGAGGCTGGACAGGCAGCGTGGCTTTCAGACCTGGCCCTGGCTCTGAGGCTTAGGAGCCTTCCCTAGCACCGGGAAGAAAACCAAAGAGGAAAAGAAGAAGAAAGGACCGGACAGAGGGAGGAGAGGCTGGGCCAGGAGATTCCTGTGTGCTGCCTGGGCTGGTGGGCGGGGAGTAGGGAGCCCAGGAACCTGGGAACGGGGGCGATGGCTACAAAGCCACCCCTTTTTCCTTCAGCAGGGCCTCCACTGCCTGAGAAGTTCGGCACTGGGCAACACTGCCTTGGAGGGCAGTGCATTGCTAGGGTGGGCAGCAGGCTCCTGGACAATGGTGCCCCGGCCTGGGCAACCTTCGGCCGGCAGGAATAGGGGTGTTCACAGGTCCACATGGAGGAGGGGTTCTGCCTCAGCCCTGGAGTGTAGGGCGGAGGGCTCCTTCCCTTCCTGTTGCAGCACCCCTTTGGCCCACTGAGCAGTCATCCCCACCCCAGCCCTGAGCAGTGCCACCAGGAACAGTGCAGAAGGGGAACCTGACAGCTGGCTGAGATAGACTCTTAGAGCTGAGTCACACCAACCTGGGCGGGATGGAGGGGAAATGCCCGCTGGCCTGGAAATGGCATATGGCTTGCCCAAGTCACTGCTGTCCTCCTAGCCCCAAGTTATTGGGTAAATGCGCTGAAATTTTTATAGAGTTGATTTTATGGAAGTATCCCTTACATTTACCCTTAACACGGGTCCAGATTTAAAAATTTTTTATTCTAGGCCAGGTGTGGTGGCTCAACCCTGTCATCCCAGCACTTTGGGAGGCCGAGGCGGGCAGATTGCTTGAGGTCAGGAGTTCGAGACCAGCCTGGCCAACATGGTGAAACCCTGTCTCTACTAAAAATACAAAAATTAGCCGGGCGTGGTGGCATGCGCCTGTAGTCCCAGCTACTTGGGAGGCTGAGATAGGAGAATTGCTTAAACCCGGGAGGCGGAGGTTGCAGTGAGCTGAGATTGCACCACTGCACTCCAGCCTGGATGACAGAGCGAGACTCAGTCTCAAAAAATAAAAATAAATACATAAATACAAATAAAAAATTTTTATTCCTAGGCCCAGCGCAGTGGCTCAAGCCTGTAATCCTAGCACTTTGGGAGGCTGAGGCAGGCGGATCACCTGAGGTCAGGAGTTCAAGACCACCCTGGCCAACATGGTGAAACTTGTCTCTATTAAAAATACAAGAATTAGCCGGGCGTGATGATGCACGCCTGTTATCTCAGCTACTCGGGAGGCTGAGGCAGGAGAATCGCTTAAACCCAGGAGGAGGAGGTTGCAGTGAGCCGAGATTGCGCCACTGCACTCCAGCCTAGGCGACAGAGTGAGATTCCATCTCAAAAAAAAAAAAAAGCCATTTTATTCCATTAACATCTTGGGTACCTACTGTGTGCCAACCCTGCCCTGGGCACTGGGAAATAGGAAACAACAGGGACCTGGGCTCGCATTCTGATAGGGGTCGCAGAAAAGAGGCAAAGGAATAGAAACAACTGTCAGGTGCGGGTAAGTGGCAGAAAGAAACATTAGTGCCGAAACAAAAGCCAGTGTACTTAGAACAATGTCATAGATGGCTATTGAGGTGGAGCCCAGAATGAAATGGGGGCTGCACCTTGCATATGTCTTGGAAACGTGGTCCAGGCAGAGGCAGGAGCCTGCCCAGGGGCTTAGAGGCACAGTGAGCCCGAAGACAAGGGTGGGGCCAGTTCCTGTGGCCTTCCCTGCAGGGGCTTTGGCTTTCTTGGAATGAGATGGAAGCCCCCAAAGGGTTCTGAGCGGAGGAGATACAGGATCAGACTTAGGTTTAATGGGGACCACCCTGGCTGCTGTGTGGCTCCTCGGAGAGGCAGAAGGGGCCGGGGAGAGGCAGGGAGACCAGCACCAAGGCTAGTTCTTCACCCAGGTGATGGGCGCTGGGGGCCAGGAGCAGAGGAGAAGCCGTGGAGCAGTGGCTGGATCTTGAAAATGGAGCCGATTGGCAGTGGGAGTGAGCAAGAGGAGACTTTGGAGACAAGCTGCCGTTGCTGGGTGGGGAGGCAGAGAGGAAGAGGGCTGGGTGAGGACTCGGGAGCTCCACGTTGGCCTGTGAGACCTGAGTGCAGCTGTGGAGCCAGTGGCGATGGACAGGTCTGGGGACCACGCTTCAGCCCCCACCGCCTGGCACATCCTGGGCTCTTTCTCCCTTTCCTTCTACCCTGGCCCTGGGGTCTCATCTCATTGCCCACAACAAAGGAGTTTACAGAAGCTGACCTAGGTGTGGTCTGGCCCCCTTTAAAAGTGAGGCTTGGCCGGGAGCGGTGGCTCATGCCTGTAATCCCAGCACTCTGGGAGGCCAAGGCAGGCAGATCACGAGGTCAGGAGACCCAGCCCATCCTGGCTAACACGGTGAAACCCCGTCTCTACTAAAGATACAAAAACAAAATTAGCTGGGCATGGTGGTGGGCGACTGTAGTCCCAGTTACTCGGGAGGCTGAGGTGGGAGAATGGCATGAACCCGGGAGGTGGAGCTTGCAGTGAGCCAAGATCACGCCACTGCACTCCAGCCTGGGCGACACAGCGAGACTCTGTCTAATTAAAAAAAAAAAAAAATGCCAGGCTTGCCCCAGCATCTTCAGATTCTTGGAGACTCCCCCAGGGGCCATAGCTTAGGGTCACCAATTCCCTGCAACCTGTCACCCCTGAGGTCACTGCTGAGGACCCATTGTCCATAGCTTCTGTGCCCTTGAGGGCAGGATGAGCAGAGCAGCCCAGAATCCTTATAGGTTTCTATAACAACCCATGACCCAAGACGGGGAGCAGGCTCCATACAGCTGTAGCCCAGATTCCAGCTGTAAGGACCTCTGGCTTCCCTGGAGACCAAGGCCTTGAGTCCAACACACACTGCAGTTGCTGTGGCTCAGGGCTTACAGGCGCAAAACCCGGAGAAGATTGCCAGCTTCCTCCAAAGTGTTTGCTGATGACACATGGGCCTGCAGTGGGCACTGTCCCCAGGAAGATCCCAGTCTAAGGCTAGCACCTGGACAGGATAGACAGAGGATTGATTTGAACCAAAACAAAAACCAGAAGGGGAGTAGAGGTCATTCAATGAGACTCCCATTCAGTGCCTGCATCACTCAGTAGCCAAGAGACAGGGACGCGCTGCCTCCCAAGGCAAGCCCATTCTCACCTGGCAGGGCTCTGGCTGAGTTCTTGTTCATATAACGAGCTGAAATCTATCTCCTAGAGTTCCATCTGCTCACACTTCCTCCACCCATTCATCCAACCATCTGCCTGCCGGTTCACCTAAGCATCCACTTACCCATCCATCTACCCATCCATCATCCCTTCCATCCATATATACCCAACCATGTACCTCCTGATCCATCCGTCCAGTGAACCGCCCATCCAACAGTCCATCCACCCATCCATTCATTAGCCACGCACCCCTTAGTCCACCCATCTGTTTATCCACCCTTCTGCCCACTTCCGTAGCCTCCCCATCTGTCCATGCATCCATCCATCCATCCATCCATCCATCCATCCATCCATCCACCCACCATCTACCACTTCCTGAGTATCAGTCATGCAAAAGTCCTAAGCACAGACCCAGGGATGGGGACTGGTATTTTCAGGGAGTGACAAGTGTCTCCATGTGGTGAAAGGACAGGGAGGGCAGGGAGACTGAGAACTCAGGCTGGAACAGGGACCAGATGGTGACTTTCGGGAGGGCTCAGGAGCTGGGAGGGTCTGAGTAGCTCAGATGAGTTTTGGATGAGCAGCAACACCTCAGTGCAGTGATTCCTGCCCTCTATGGAATCAACTCTTTTTTATGATTTCTCACTTCCCACACAGGCCATTGGGTCTGGCAAGAGCTGGGACCTTGCTGAAAAATGTGAAGGCTCAGATTATTTTATTTATTTTTATTTATTTATTTATTTATTTATTTATTTATTTATTTTTGAGACAGAGTCTTGCTTTGTCGCCCAGGCTGGCGTGCAGTGGCGCAATCTTGACTCACTGCAAGCTCTGCCTCCCAGGTTCACGCCATTCTCCTGCCTCAGCCTCCCAAGTAGCTGGGACTACAGGCGCCCACCATCACTCCTGGCTAATTTTTTTTTTGTATTTTTAGTAGAGACGGGGTTTCACCGTGTTAGCCAGGATGGTCTCGATCTCCTGACCTTGTGATCCACCCGCCTTGGCCTCCCAAAGTGCTGGGATTACAGGCGTGAGCCACCGCGCCTGGCCAGATTATTTTTAAAGGTGCTTATTATGATAGGTGGACCTCAGTTTCCTTATCTGTAAAATAGAGGTCATACCCCTATTTGTGGCACTGTTGTGATGGTTGGAGATTGAATATATAGAGATATATGAGTATGACTGAGCATGGTGGCTATTGCATCATTTCTTCACCGCCCCGCCCCCCCGCCCAGCCATGACCCACATGGGTACTGCGCTGCCCTCAGTCCTAGGACTGCACCTCTGACCCCTTTCTCTGCCCAGTACACCCCAGGCATGGGGCTCCCTTGTGCAATGACCAAAGTCTTCTGCAGCCACTGGTGATTTTCCATGGACAGAGAGGATATGGAGACCCAAGGACTCCAGGACCCACCAAAACTTGCTGGCTGCCTTTGTATTTCTTTCTTTCTTTCTTTTTTTTTTTTGAGATGGAGTCTCGCTCTGTCACCCAGGCTGGAGTGCAGTGGCGCAATCTCGGCTCACTGCAACCTCTGCCTCCCAGGTTCCAGCAATTCTCCTGCCTCAGCCTCCCAAGTAGCTGGGACTACAGGAGTGCACCACCACACCCAGCTAATTTTTTGTATTTTTAGTAGAAACGGGGTTTCACCATGTTGGCCAGGATGATCTCGATCTCCTGACCTTGTGATCCACCCATCTTGGCCTCCCAAAGTCCTGGGGTTACAGGCATGAGCCACCGCGCCCGGCCCTGCCTTTGTATTTCTTAATCCCTTTCGTCATCACGGCAACCAGGAGCCTCCATGAGGTGAAGTGACTTGTCCAGGGTCTTGAGTAACTGGTGGAGCTGGGATTAGAACCCAGGTCTGTCAGGTTCTAAAGCTGCCTTTTTAGCTTCCTGCTGTGGGGGTCTCATGTTCTTAGAAGGTCAGAGGAGGGAGAGAGTGACCTGATCTGAGTTCCAGAAATCTAACATTGGAGAAATCTGAAATTTGAGACTTCCTCTGGCTGGGGACTTTGAGCCTGGGGTGGTCTCGGTTGGGAAATGCGCAGATCAGAAGTAGGTCTGGGCTCTGCAGGATGGGCGGCCAGGGGCCCTCTCATGGGCACTGCATCCCAGCACTGGGCAGGGAGGGAGGCTGCCAGCGAACTGTGCCCAGAATTATGCATCTGCGCCACTTCCTGTTCAAATGGTGATTCCATGGCCCCAGGAGGTGCGCATTTCTCTGACTGCTCCGATTTCCTGCCAGGCACTCATAGGTAATCCTCTGCAGGCCCAGGCTGTGTGGGGCTGAGTCTTCTTTGTCTCCAGTTGGCCGCCCCGCCAGCCCGTGGACCACACACTCCTGTTCCTGCATCCTCCTCGGCCTGCACTGCAGATCCTCCCCAGTCAGAGGCCCTGCAGCCCCAGCCGGCCTTGGCCCCATCCTGCTCTCCGCCCCGTCCCCACTTCCACTTTTCTACTGCACCTCAGATCAGGCCAGGCCATCTCTCAGGTTCTCTCCCTGCCCTGGGGAAGTGACTGGGAGCTGGGCCCTAGTGTCAGACACATCTGGTTTGAGACCCAGCTCTGCAACTTACTTGCTGCGTGACTCTGAGAAGTTACTTAACCTCTTTATGCCTCAGTCTCCTCATCTGTATAGTGGGGATAATATTAGCAATGCATGTTAAACCCTCAAAACGACACGTGACATAGTGTCACATATGTTTGTTAAAATGACCGTTACCACCACCTCTAGGTTTTCTGAGTCAGCTGTCTGATCCACTCTTTTACAGATTTTTTGAGGTCAGATTCTGTGTCATGTTTGGGGCCAGAGGGTATACAGATGAGTAAGATAGGATTCCTTCCCTGCGGTGGGGGCGGGGGACTGACATGGAAACCAGACCTGCGGGAAGGGTGCGGGCTTGTGCAGGTGTGGCTGAGGCATGAAGATAGGAGAGTCACTCTGCCTGGGAGATGAGAAAGCCTTTCTGGAGTGGGACTTCAGAAATGGATGGCGGGGCTGAGTTTGGAACAGGGTCTGCCAGGGTGGAGGGAAGGACAGGTATGCCAAAGGTGAGACCTACCTGTGCAGAGGCCCACCTGCAGGGGTGGAGGGGCTGACCAGGCAGGCTGGAGGCAGGAGGTGGCAGGGCTTGATTTTATCCCAAAGGTTTCGGGATAAAATGTTGAAGAGGTTTAAGCAGAGGGCCACACAGCTCTATTGCCTTTAGACAAACCCACCTAGAAGTAGCGTGGGTTGGGGAGAAGGGGCTGAGGTGGGAGGCTTCTGTCCCAGTTCAGGGGCAAGGAGAGGGGACCCTGAGGATGGAGAGAAGGGGAGGGTCAGAGGGAGGCTCCCAGGCGGTCTGGAGGCGTTCACATGGGTCCTCCATGATTCCCACCTCCATGACTGGGTGCTGGAGCCCTGAGCCCAGCGCAGGTGGCACTCATAGGCCTGCCAAGCTCACGCAGCCTCAGGGCCTGCCCTTGCTCTCAGGAATCATTTGAAGGGCAGCTGATCTTTTTTTTTTTTTGAGACGGAGTCTCGCTCTGTCGCCCAGGCTGGAGTGCAGTGGCGTGATCTCGGCTCACTGCAGCCTCCACCTCCCTGGTTCAAGCGATTCTCCTGCCTCTGCCTCCCAAGTAGCTGGGACTACAGGCATTTGCGCTGCCACACCCAGCTAATTTTTTGTATTTTTAGTAGAGACGGGGTTTCACTGTGTTGGCAAGGCTGGTCTGGAACTCCTGACCTCAGGCGATCCGCCCTCCTAGGCCTCCCAAAGTGCTACCGCACCCAGCCTGCTCTTTATTTTAAAAGCAAAAAAATTATCAAATATTGTTCTTGATATAGAAATTTAAATTACTTTATACTTAGTTTTTCTTAGTTTTCTTTATACTTAGTTTTACTTTTATAGTAGGAAAAAGAAAGCTAACTAGCACTGAATTGAATTTCTGTACCTTAAAACCCACATCTGGTTATGATTGCCTGGTGTGAGCTATCGTGACCCTTTTTCACCTCGAGGTGTTTACTGTGCCTGAATCTGTTCTAGAGATGGTGGTGTCTCCTCCCTCTCCCACCCCTGCCTCATCCCAGGCACCGACTGGCCCTCACACCAGTCACTATTAGTGTCTGCACTAATAGTGCAGACACTCTGCTCTGCCCAGCCCAGCTCACTGAGCCCAGCCCACCTGGCAGGGCACCTGGGCCAGCTGGTCAACCCCTGGGCTCAGCTCCTGCTCTGGTGCAAGCAGGGTGGGGCCCAGGGATACTTTGCTCCCCAGATGATGCCCTCCAGAGGGCGGAAGGGGGGTTGTCTGGAGCCAGGCTCACTGCAGAAAGCCTGGAGGAGGAGTCCTGGGTACCCTGAGCTGAGCTGCACCTCCCTCAGTACCACTGACTGTCCCTTGGGCTCTGCTCCCAGCGCAGGCGCTCAGCTGCCAGCCAGAGGAGTGGCCTCTGGTGTGGGCATCTCACAACCCCTGACCCCCAGGAGGCACGTCCTAGACACTGTGTGGGTGGAATCCAGGGCCTGTCTGCTCATTTGTCTGGCCAGAGGCACTGGCTTTGGGCTTCTGGTCACCTTTTCTAAAAATGGTCGTGTCTCCTCCTTCTGTCTCCCCTGCCTCAAAGCAAGCCTTGCTCCAGGCACGAGGGTGCTGTTTCTGCACGACCCCATCAGCACTATTATTTTAATGTATTTGTTTCTGCCAGTTTGATAGGTGTGTAATGGTATTTCACATCTTGTTTACACTTGCATTTTTAATTGCTCATGAGACTTTGCATTTTTTCCATGTTGCTATTTACTCTTGGTATTTCTTTCTGCATAAACTGTCCTATCGATCTTTTTTCAGCATTTATCAAGGGGAATTTTTGTTTTGCCCTTTATTTTAAAGTCAGTTCTATATATTTCAGCACTGTTTGTCATGCCATTTTTTCTTGCTCTGTTGCTTTCCTCTTTCTCTCTGTTAATCATATCTTATTGCTCAAAAGTTTTCCTGTGTGTGAATATGTTTTCTTTCAATTATATCACATCTGCTTTGTTTCTGATTATATCTATCACTTCTTTAGTAGTTAGACACTTATTTTCCATCTCTAACAAGAATAAATAAGCCATTTTGTTTATAACCCCCAGTTAACTCACCAACTGTTTAGTGTTTTGACACATTTGTTTTTTTGTTTCACTTGATTTTTTTTTTTTTTTTTTTTTTTTTTTTTGAGACAAGGCTTCGCTCAGTCACCCAGACTGGAGTACAGTGGTGTGATCTTGGCTCACTGCAGCCTCAACTTCCTGGGCTCAAGCGATCCTCAGCCTCTTGAATAGCTGGGACTAACAGGTGTGTGCCACCACGTCCTGCTAATTTATTTTTATTTTTTGTAGAAATGGGGGTCTCACTATGTTACTCAAGCTTGTCTTGAACTCCTGGGATCAAGCAATCCTCCTGCCTCAGCCTCCCAAAGTGCTGGGATTACAGGCATGAGCCATCGTGGCTGGCTTTCACCCTACCTCTTATCTGTCTGTCTTATCTATCCATCTATCATCTAACTCCATTTCTGTTGTTTTGTTTTGCTTGAACCATTTTCAGTAGATGAAAGACATCTTGACCTTTCTCCCATAAATACTTGACAGTTTCCTGCCCAAATGCAGTGCCATGATCACCCAGGGATTTCACATTAATTCAGCGATGTCATCTAAGATTCAGCTCATAATCAGATTTCCCTAGTTGTCATAACATTGATGTTTCTGAGGAGTCCAGGCCAGTTGTCCTATAGACTGTCCCATCACCTGGATGTGTCTGTTTCCTCGAGGTTAGATACACAGTAAGCGTTTTTGGCAGGGACAGGTGGTGGTGTGTCCTCAGAGCATCTCATGAGGGGCCACATGATGTTCATTTGTTCTATTTTGGGGATGCTGAGTTCAATCACTTGATTAAGGTGGTGTCTACCTCATCTATTCAACATAATGGTACTTTTCCCCTTATAATTAATAGGTAATCTGTGGGACCATACCTTGGGACAGTGTAAACATTTGGTTTACATAATAGTTTTAGCATCCACTGATGCCCCTTGCCTGAGTAAATTACACTGGTGGTTGCCAAATGGTGATTTTTTTCTAATTCTCTCATTCTTTCCACAGATAGAGCATTGTTCTGTTAAAAAAAAAAATTCTTTCCTTCCACCCCCCTTTTCTGAGTATCACTATGAACTTGTGGCTCCTTACCTCCCCAGCCTGTCATACCTTGTTACCTTCATTCTTTTTAATGCTCAACAGTTTTTTGTTTTGTTTTTAATGCAACATTATAACATTTTGAGCATTATGACTTGGAATAATGTATTTTTAATTGAAACAAGCCAATCATTATTACCTTTTAAAAATCCTTCTGATAGTCTTCATTATTTATGGATTTTGAAGAATGTAACACATTTTTCAGGGTCTGTAACGGGTATTGCATTCAGTCTATTAGATTAGAGAGTGCTGCCATCTTTACATACTATATTTAGTCCTCCCAATAGGAGCAAAATATTAACATTAAAAATAGGTGTTTTACAATTGGACTAAATAAATGTTTAATATTTAATGTGTTTTATTACTGCTGAGAATTAAGTACTTTTTTTCCATTGATTTTTTTCCTAGCTGCATGTCACTAGCATATAGGAATATAATTGATTTTTTGTAAATGTTTTCTCTAATCTCACCACTGGTATGAATTCATTTATCATTTCTAGTAGTTTTCTGGTTGATGACTTTGCATTTCCTAGGTAAGCCATGCCATCCAGTTCAAAAGTCATTGTTTTGTGTCTTCTTTTGAGTTCAATTACTTTTTCTTCTGAGATGGGAGCCGCCAGCATTTCTAGAGCTAAGCGGGGTGGGCACAGGAGACATCGCCCCAACTGACATGTGCTGGAACATTGGCCACAGGCCCAGCTGTGAGTCAAGGAGAACAGCTGGGGCAGGGGCAGTGGTCTTAACAGACAGGGTCCCAAAGGAAGTGGTGAATCCTGAAGAGGTCGAGGCTGGTGTTGGCACAAGAGGTGGCCTAATAGAGAGGGAAGGGGGCCAGCAAGAGGCCATCAGGCCTCCTGCTATGGTTCAGGGGAGGACTCCAGCCTCATGGCAGAAAAACCAAGTCCCAGGCAGCAGAGCAGGGATGATGGACCAGATGAAACATGCACACAGACGGCCGCAGAGTTGATCCGGGCAGCCAGATGCAGCTAGCTGGGCTGAGGCTGTTCCCTGGCCCGTGTGTGGTCTTGGATGGTGGTGGAGCCAGTAGGGATAAGGGTTGGTAAGGGATGGTGGAGGCAGGACCCCATCATCCTTTCCTTATAATTTTTTACAGTGGAGAGACAGTAGCTTCCTACCATTAAGTACCTTGTCAGTACTTAGGTTTAGGTCAATATTCTTTTGCATATTAATAAAGACCACCCCCTCTCCGCTCCGTTCTCCTTTTGTTAGAGTCTTATTCAAGACCAGATGGTAAATTGTATCAAATGTCTTCCCAGCATCTATTAAATGTTTCAACGATGCTTGCTATTTTCCCAGTTGATGTAAAGAATTATGCTTGGAATGGATGAGTCTCCACTTGGCCAGGCCTGGTCAGGTGCCCATCCTCAGCGGCAGTCCACCCAAATCACAGAGAATGGGGAGGAGCAGCTCCCCAGAGGAAAATCAGGGTGCACTTACCAGGTGAGGGGCATTGCAACGTTGGGTAGAAAGAAACTCCAGATGTGTAGGAAAACTTAGCCTTTTAGCCCAAGCTCTCTTGGTTCCCACCCTGCACTCAAGGAGCAGGGAGGAGCATTTATTTCTGTGATTCTCCTGGCATGAGGACAGATGCTGGGTTTCTGCAGCCCTCTGCCTCCAACACAGGGTGTTGTACTGGTACACAGTACTGGGTTTATAGTGTGTAACAGGGGCACAGTGTTACTTAACCGACTGGGTGAGTAAACAAATAGAGTGCAAGGGGACCAGCCCGGAACCCAGGAGCCCCAGCTCCTCCTGAGCCCTGCCCCCAAAATCTTGTGATTTGGAAGCAAGTTCCTCTCTGCTTCTTGAGGCTGCTAGATGGTTTGGGAGGCAGGAGGGCTTTGTGATCAAGGACTCAGTGTCTGAACGGGTCAGAGGTCAACTCCCAGATTTCCAGCTTGCCGGCTCTATGACCTGGGATGGGCCTCTGTACTTCCTGGTGCCTCACCTGCGAAATTGGGATGCGATACTGTTCCCCTGAGAGGGTTCTCATGATGCTAATGAAAGAAGGAGGGTGAAGCACTTAGCACAGCCCTTGTGCATCCTAAGCCCTTTACCGAGAGGAGTTATTAGGGTGCACTCTGTGTCTTTGGGGATATTTAGAAGAGGAAGTTCTGCGCTGGTTATAGATTATTTGGGGCTCTTGTGGGGATAGGGATAAGTATCCAAGTCCATAAGTCACTGGGATTGTGCGCTTGCTGCTGCCACCACGTGGTCCCAGGATGATGAGGATGATGATGATGATGAAGGAGAAACATACCTGCACCTGCGGCTGCAGATACAGGGGTAAATTGAAAAGGTGGTATTGCATAGTAGAAAATAGTGCAAGTTGGGCTGGGTGTGGTGGCTCACGTCTGTAATCCCAGCACTTTGGGAGGCTGAGGTGGGCGGATCACTTGAGGCTAGGAGTTGGAGACCATCCTGGCCAACATGGTGAAACCCTGTCTCTACTAAAAATACAGAAATTGGCCAGGCATGGTGGTGCGCACCTGTAGTCCCAGCACTGCACCGAGGGGGCTGAAGGGGGCGGGGGCATGGTGTCACACCCTTGGAGGGGCTGGGACTGCTGTGGGCTGAGTCTGCCTGGGAAGGGGTGATGGCACAGCCCTTCTGTTTCCACTGTTGCTGCTGGGAATATTCCCACTGCCACCACCTAACCACCTTTCTGCCAGCCTCAGAGGGCATGTGCCAGCTCCAAGACCAGGGCCCTGGTTGAAGACCAGCTCCTGCCACTCCCTGCTGGGTGAGGTCCACCAGCCGCCCAATCTGGATTCCCCTCTCAGGGTCTCATCATCAGAATCTCCAGGGGAGGCCCTGGAAAATGCAGCTTCCAGGGTCCCACCCTGGTGAACAGGCTCTGCAGATCTGTGTTGAGATGACAGGATGAGAATCCCTCCCATCTTTCCACCCTGGATGGCACACGGTTTAATGGAGGATGCGTAGGCCCTGGATCAGAATGCCAGGCTCAAACCTCACTTTCCAGGCCGGGCGCGGTGGCTCACGCCTGTAATCCCAGCGCTTTGGGAGGCCGAGGCGGGTGGATTCCAAGGTCAACAGATCGAGACCATCCTGGCTAACATGGTGAAACCCCGTCTCTACTAAAAATACAAAAAAATTAGCCAGGCGTGATGGCGGGCGCCTGTAGTCCCAGCTACTCTGGAGGCTGAGGCAGGAGAATAGCGTGAACCTGGGAGGCAGAGGTTGCAGTGAGCCAAGATCGCACCACTTCACTCCAGCCTGGGCGACAGAGTGCGATTCCATCTCAAAAACAAACAAACAAACAAACAAACAAAACAACCTCGCTTTCCTCTCTTCTAGCCCAGAGATCCCAGCTAAGTCCCTGACTCTCTGGAGCTTTGGTTTTCTGGTTTATTAAGTGAGGCCAGTAACTTCCCTCCAAGGGCTCGCATGAGGATAAACCAGGGGAAGGGTGTGTAGGTGCCACACGCCTGAGTCCTTTCTGATACCCAGGACTCTGTTACACTGGTCCTCCACCCCAGGCCTCTGAGCTACTTTCTTTTGGGAAAGAGGTTTAAATTATAAATAAGGGCCTCAATCATGGATGAGGCCTCTTGCCTCCTGCCGTGCTTGCTGGAAAAGAACTTTGCCTCTGCAAAGAGCGTCTACAAAATGAGTAGACTCAAGACCTCCCCTGTGGCCCTTGGCCCTGCCATACGGGCCCTGAGGAATTTGCTGAGCTGCCTGGGGGTGCCTCCCATGAGGACAGCTACTCAGACTGCAGGGCGTCCTTCCGAGGAGAAGGTGCAGTTGCAGCAGAGAGGAAGCGAGGGCTAGAAAGCCTGAGACATAGACAGCCCCTCTGGCCATCGTCCTTGCCTCAGTCGGGGCTCTGGGAGGGCCGCAGCCAGGCTGGGTAGGACCGAGCATCTCATGAGGGGCCGTGTGAGGTTCACTTGTTCTGTTTGGGGATGCTGAGTTCAATCACCTGGGGAGCAGCTTGGTCCTGGGAGGACCCACCAGAATTTCTCCTCCCCAAGTGAGTGCATCAGTGCTGGCAGCTGAACCCACGAGCTGCAGGCAGGGGTGTGGAGCAAGTGAACCTAGACAGTTCATCCTCTAGGGGTGACTGCGCACACCACCACCCTCCTCTCACACAGATGCCGGTTTTGCCATGGAAATGGCCCATTTAATGTCCTGTGCAAGGGAGAAAAGCTCTAGATCCCCAGAGCAGGGGTCCCACCCGTGTCCAGCAAACAGAGGGAGGAAAGGGTATTCTGATCCAGCAGTTGGTCAAGCAATGTGGAAATGGAGCCCGCTCCCCCTTCACTTTAGTCCAGGAAAGCCTCCGGGTAAAAATGCTGACTCCAGCCTAACCTGTCTCAAACTTACGGATTTCAGAAACCTTTCTACATGTAACACATTGACACTCTCTAAGAAATGCCATCCTGGTGATCTTGGGTGAAGGACTCAACCTCTCTGGGTCCCACTTGCTTCATCAGTGAAACTGGAACCTTAATCCCCATCCTGCCCTGTCCCATCACAGGGACCACGGATAGGAAGGGGCGGGGCCACCTTAATCTCTGCTGCCCACAGAGCCTGGGAGCTCCTCTTGTCCCCAGCCCCTGGCTAGACCTGGCCCAGGAAATGTACGTGAACACCAGTGAGTCCCAGGGAGCAGGCAGACACCAGGCGCAGATAGGTTTCAGGTCCTCTGCCAGGGCTACAGGCTGCACCTCCCCTGGGATCCAAGTGGGGTTTCCGTGGTGGAGAGATTGACCAGTGGGCAGTGAGGTGAGGAGCAGTACCTGCCCCATTTCACAGGCAAAAAAACTGAGGCTCAGAGAGGTCGGGGTCTGCCAGGGCCTCATGGTACGTTTGAAATTCCATTATGGGATTCCCAGAACAAGTCGCCCTTCTCACTTGCCATCTTGTGTTGTACTGACAGCAACAGTGGAATTTCTGCCTGGAGCCACTGTATTTTGCTTTGTTTCTGTAGCTAAACCTCAATTTACTGAAAGGCCATGAGGTGTCCTGGTTAACTCATTTTCTGGGGAATGGAGGGAGGACTGGCGGGAGCTTTTCAGTTTGAGTCTAGTTGAAGTGTCAGAGCTGGGGAGCTCGGCATGTTTCGGATGGGGCGGGATAGATGGGTTAGAGGAGGCAGGGTCCAGGGACCACAGCTCAGAGTGGCCCAACTCCTGCAGGCCAGCACCCCCCTTTGATGAGCAGACATTCCCATGTAACCTTAAATAATGGGTCTAAAGCCAACCAAAGCCCACAGCGAGCAGCGCCTTTCAAACTATGCTGAGAGCCAGAGATGTCAACAGAGGGCCTCACACGGAGGGCACGGAGGGAGCTGTCCTTCCATAGGCCCCCCGAGAAGAGAGTGTCTTCCCTCTTCCCCCGCCCCCATATTTAGCCTCCCCCTGCCCTCCAGCCACTGAGAACAGCTGGTGGTTCCTCAGACCCTTCGAGCACCTCTACGGCCTGGCCTTGGCTACCCTCTCCCTCCTCCCTCCCTTTTGCTCACACCAACGCCCCGCTTCTTGAATTCCCATTCCCCACACCTGCTGTGTCAGTTCTTCCACCTGCAGTCCAGCATAACCCCCTCCTCCTCCAAGGCCCTTCCACATCTCCCAAGCCCTCTGGGCTGTCTGTCTCCTCTGGGCCCCAAAACTGCAAGGATTTGGGGTAACACCTTCGAGGGGGTTACATTGTGATGGATTCTGTCTTATCTTCCCCTACAGTGCTATCAGCAGTTTTTCAAAAGAGTCATAAGAGTTTCATTGAGTTTTTTTCCCCGAAGTTTAAAAATGATCCAGTTCATATTTTAAATTCAGCCAGTTAAAAATTGCTGGAAGAAGAGGTGCAACGACTGGCTGTCCCAGCTCATGAGGTTCACGGGTGTCCGCAGCTTCCTGACCAGCGTCCAGGCATGCTCTGCCTATGAAAGCCTCATTTATCCCGAGCCTGCTCTGTGTCAGCTGCCAGGCTGTCTTGATATGCCATCCCCTCTCAGTCCTAACACATGATGAGGCAATGATGTTGCTCAGGGAGGTTGAGTCATCCACCACTGGTCACACAGCTGGGAAATGGAGGAGGTGGGATTCCAGCTCAGCAATGTCTGCCTCCAGAGGCTGGGAGCCACGCTACCCTGCCTCTGGGCGTGTGGCAGTATTAACAGTCACCTACACACTTTTATGCTATTCCCGAGGCTATTTTTATTTCACTCAAAAATAACTCCAGGACATCTGTTCCTTCCCTGGGAGCTTCCTGGGAGCCTCTCTGTCTCCCCACAGGCCAGTCAGTCTGGCTGAAGAGCTGTGGAAACATTTGCAAAAGGAACGGACAGATGGGCGGATGCCTGCAGAGGCCAGTCCACTTCAGAGACCACCCAGGCTTCTGTCACTTTCGCTCCTATTCAGACCCCAAACAAAGCCCTTGTGGGTGGCCGGAGGGATTCTGTCAGCCCAGACTCAGGCTGTGAATGAGGGGCCACCTGATGACACTCAGATGGATGGAGGTGTTGGCGGTCCCATAAAGGAAGATGTCTCCAGCTGTGGCGGCTGGGACAGCGCTTCCCAGGAGGCGGTGGCCTGGGTACCATGTCACTGGGCCATGGTGCTGGCCAGCCCTCTGGATGTCTAGCCACCCTGGCCAGAGGCACTCCAAAGCCGCACAGGCCCTCTCCACCTCCCCTCCCATCACCACCTTTTATCCCAGTGGGTCCCTGAGGCGGGGTCCTTCATTGGGCAGGGGCCCTCCAGCTGTGAGAACCAGGAAGCAATGCAAAATAACTTACATGCTGAGGCAAGTGTATTCTTCCTTATAACACAAGGGTCCAAGGTAGGGCAGCTCCAGGGCTGGTTCCTCAGGGGCTCAGAGGCACCAGCTAGGACCCAATCCCCTTCCATTGAGCTTCCCAGCGTTGACCCAAGAGGGCATCCCTTCTCCAGCAGGGGAAGCAGGGAGGGGACAGCTTCCTGTTCATGGGCCCCACCCTCCAGAGACAGCCTCTCCCAGAGCCCCCTGCAGATGTCTTCTCATGGCTTATTGGCCAGAGATGTAGAACATGCCTTTGCCTGAACCAATCACTGGCAAGGGGGAAGAGCCCCCCGGAACTGGCTTGGTCCAGTCAGAACTCATGCTCCAGGTTGAGTGGCCCCAGGCACCTGGTCAGACAGGAGGTGGGCACCTCAGGCCCAGGGGGCGCTCTACGTGGACAAAGAGGAGGGGAGGGGCAGGATAGTGGTGACTGACGAATCTGCCTCCGTTCTTGTCATTATTTCTTGACTTTATAGAAGAGGGGAAGTAAAAGGCTCGGAAGAGAGGTTGAGTAATTCCCCAGGGCCACACCCACTCCAAGGTCCCCAAGCCATTTACTTGTTCCGTGGTGAAGCTCCAGTAAATGGAGGCATTTTTCTCCCAGTCCTCTGACCCCGTCTGCTTCTCCACTCTGGTTTTCTTCTCTTCCTCCCCCCAATCCCCATGCCCACCCCAAACATGCCTGAAAGCATTACGATCATAGAGACTTCAGAGCTGGAAGAGACATTCAATATTAATGTTATCCAGTGCTGTCATTGTCCAGATGGGGAAACTGAGGCCGAGAGAGGGGAAGGAGCTCAGCGAGACCACTCAGTAAAGCAGTCTGTGGTGGAGCTGGGACTGGATGGAGGGCCCAGGAAGCACAGCATCCCTGAGATTCTCAGAGGGTCTCAGGGACCACCCTACTTTCTCACCTCAGCCCCCCTGCGGACGGTCTCCGCAGCCTCCCAGCTGGCTGGTGGCCCCTCTGCCTGTCCCTTCCCGGGGGAAGGCTCACCCTCAGGCCCCCTTTATGCATCTTTGCACCTGGCACATCCATGGCACTCTGCAGCCTCTGATGTCCTTGACTCATAGTCTGATCTGATCGTCACAGCGGTCCTGTGAGCTGGTCGGAAGTGCATTATAGATACAGAAACTGAGGCCCAGAGAGGCAACAGGGCTTGCCCGAGGTCACGCAGTGGTACCTTATCGAAGCCCAGGCAGAGCCCGCTCTCTCGGCATGCGACCTGTGCAGTCACTCAGGGATTAGTGCTCTGGGGTTGCCTTCTTGAAATTCGTGGTAATGTTCCCCTTTGCCCTGGGCGCCACTAATTGCGGAGCTGGTCCTGGGCCCGGGGCTCCTGACTCCTCCAGGATGCTTTCCACAACCACATACCCCCTCTACCAGTGGCCTACCCAGGGTAAGTCTGACTGATTCCGTGGGACAGCCCTTCACATGGAGGGGAGCGGGCTTAGGGAGTGGGAGCAAGACAGTGGGATGTTTTGGCCTGGGCTCAGGGTGCAGGAACTGGAAGGACCCACTTTGGAAATGCCTCCCTCATCCCTTGTCTCAGGCCGGTGTTGCTGAAGTTCTTGCCTGGCTCCCTTCCCATCCTGGCCTCAGAATTAATGGAGAGGGCCAGTGGCGGCCTGTGCCCTTTGTCCCACCGGCCGGCCTGGGGGTGGCGGCTCCAGAATACAGGGTCCTATTGTGTGCCCTGATGTCAGGCAGCTGGACTGCTGGGAGTGAGGATAAACAAGCAGCTGGAGCATCTCGCCTGAAGCCCCAGGAGAGGGCCAGAGCCCCTGCAGCAGCAGGAGAAGGGGCCAGTCTGAAGAGGGACAGAGCTAGGGGCAGTTGGATTCCAACCCTGCCTGCTGTGCGGTGAGGCCAGCACAGCAACAGGGTCCACTGCTGTAAGAGGGGAATGACTGGCGGTTTGGCTACTTCACAGGGCTGCTGGGAGTGATGCACTTGAGTGCTTCGAAGGCTGCCTGACACCAGCCAGCTCTGCCGCTGTCAGCACTTGCCCCTGTGCTTCCTATCGCCCATATTCAGGATAAAGCACATACAGGCCCTTTGCCTGGCTCGTAAGCCCTTCTCTTTCAGGCCTGTTCCCTCTCTCTTTGGCCCCATCTCTTGATGACGCCCCCTCCCCATATTCCTTCCATCCACCCCAGACCCCCTGCGTTTGCCAGCATTGCCCCCTCTCCCTCTCCTGTTCCCTCTTGCTGCCCTTCACGTCCTTCCCCACTGTCCCCCTCACCTGGCCAGCTCCTAGCAGGAAACCCTGCAACTGGTCCTGGGATTTACGATGCCTCCGGTACCCCAGTGTCCTCACAGGTGTCTCCTGACTGTAAGGCCTCCAGAGTGGCCACCCCTGAGCAAGGATCTGGCCCCAGCACCTGCCTCACCTCCTCCAGAGGGTCCCTTCCCCAGAAGCACTGCCAGGGAAATCTAGGCTCCACGTGGGTTCAAAAGGCACTTCCCGGCCTGCTGCAGGGAGTCTCCAGGTGCCCAGACCTGCCACTGTCTTTGTAGGCCCCTCTCACCCCACAGGCACTGTCCTTTCCCCTCTTTTCCCATCTGTCTTCTATTGTGGCTGCTAAAACAGCATAAAAATGCTGGGGAGTTTCAACTTCACCCTACTCCAAGCCAAGCCCTGAAACCCCTTTTGTGGATATAGACGATGTCAGGTGCCCAGCCAAGCCCAGGTTAGTGCCTGGGGTAGCAGGAATTGCCACTCCGATGCCCATGGGGGCCAGGAAGGAATGCAGCCTAGGTGGGGCTGCGGTGGGGAACTACTTGAGATTTGGGGGTTCCCATAGACAGCTGGGGAGCAGAATACATTCCCTTTCTAAAGAGTGTGCTTGAATTCAGCTGTCGCTCATTGTTGCTGTGGGGGAATATGGGACCTGTATTGCCAGATCTGATTTTTCAAGAAAAGCCAGGGGCTGGGCATGGGGGCTATGCCTGTAATCCCAACACTTTGGGAAGTCAAGGCAGGAGGATCACTTGAGGCCAGGAGTTCAAGACCAACCTGGGCAACATAATGAGACCCCATCTCTACAAAAAATTAGCCAGGTGTAGTGGTGTATGCCTGTACTCCCAGCTACTTGGGAGGCTGAGTTGGGAGGATCCCTTCAACCTGGGAGGTCGAGGCTGCTGTGAGCTATGATCATGCCACTGCACTCCAGCCTGGGTGACAGTGAGACCCTGTCTATAACAAAAATAAAAATAGGCTAGGCGTAGTGGCTCATGCCTGTAATCCCAGCACTTTGGGAGGACAAGGCGGGCGGATCACCTGAGGTCAGGAGTTCGAGACCAGCCTGGCCAACATGGTGAAACCTCGTCTCTACTAAAAATACAAAAATTAGCTGGGTGTGGTGGCAGGCACCTGTAATCCCAGCTACTCAGGAGGCTGAGGCAGCAAAATCGCTTGAACCCGGGAGGCGGAGGTTGCAGTGAGCCGAGATCGCACCATTGCATTCCAGCCTGGGAGACAAGAGTGAGACTTCGTCTCAAAAAAATAAAATAAAATAAATAAAAATAAAAATTTAAAGTCAGATATCCAACTTTGTATGTGCAGTTCCCTTGATTTTTTTTTTTTTTTTTTGAGACAGGGTCTCACTGTGTCACTCAGGCTGGAGTGCAGTGGCACAATCACAGTTCACTGCAGCCTTGACTTCCCGGGCTCAGGTGATTCTCCCGCCTCAGCCTCCGAAGTAGCTGGGACTACAGGCGTGCACCACCACACCTGGCTAATTTTGTTCATTTTTTGCAGAGACAGGGTTTTGCCATGTTGCCCAGGCTGGTCTGGAACTCCTGAGCTCAAGCGATCCTCCTGCCTTGACCCACTCCCAAAGTGCTGGGGTTACAGCTGTGAGCTACCGTGCCCAGCCAGTTCCCTTGATTTTTAAAGAAAAATTTTAAAAAATTGTTTTTACTTTACATACAGTAAAATTCGCTTTTTGGGGGTGGGGGAAGAAGTGTCACTATTTACATAGACTCCTGTGACTCCCACTGCCATCAGGGACAGAACGGCTCATCCCCCAAATTCTCTCCGGCTGCTCCTTTGTCTTCAGTCCCTCCTCCTCGCTCTTGGCACCCACTGATCTGGCTTTGTCACTATGGTTTTGCCTTTTGCACGTAAATGGAATCATACAGTTTGTAACCTTTGGGAGTGGTTTCTTTCCCGTAGCATAATCATTTGTTCTTTTTGGTTAGGGAACACTTGCTTATCCATTCACTTGTTGAGAGACACTGGGGATGTTTCTAGGTTTGGGTGATTATGTGTAATGCTGCTGTGGACATTTTTGTGCAGTTTTGTGTGGGTGTGTGTGAATGTAAGTTTTCATTTCTCTAAGATAAGGAAGGATAAGGAAGTTCCCTTATATTTCTACTTTGTTGAGAGTTTTTTTGTTTTTTTTTTTTGGTATCATGAATGGATGTTAAATTTTGCCACTTGATTTCTCTGCATCTTTTGATAGGTTTTTCTTCTTTGGTCATGTTTAGATTACATCCATTAGTTTTCAAATGTTGGGCCAGCTTTGCTGAATAAACCCCATTCGGCTGCTTGTCTTGTTATATTTTTCATATATATCTCCTGGATTCGATTTGCTAATATTTTGCAGAGGCTCATTGCATCTGTGTTCATGAGGGATATTGGTTTGTAGTTTTCTTTTTTCTTTTTTTTTTTTTTTGAGACTGAGTCTCACTCTGTCGCCCAGGCTAGAGTGCAGTGGGGCGATCTCGGCTCATTGCAAGCTCCGCCTCCCGGGTTCACGCCATTCTCCTGCCTCAGCCTCCCGAGTAGCTGGGACTACAGGCGCCCACCACCATGCCCGGCTAATTTTTTGTATTTTTAGTAGAGACGGGGTTTCACTGTGTTAGCCAGGATGGTCTCGATCTCCTGATCTCATGATCCGCCCACCTCAGCCTCCCAAAGTGCTGGGATTACAGGCATGAGCCACTGCGCCCAGCAGGTTTGTAGTTTTCTTATATTGCTTTTGTTTGGTTTGGGTAACAGGGTATTATTGCTGGCCCCATAAAACGAGTTGGGAAGTGGCTCTTCTATTCTCTGGAAGAGGTAGTGTAGAATTTATGTATATTTTCCTTAAATACTTAGTGAAATTATCTGGTCCTGAGGTTTTCCTTTTTGGAAGGATATAAATTGGGAAATTAATTTCTTTAATCACTCAAGGACTGTTCAGATTATCTATTTCTTCTTGCATGAGTTTTGGTAGTTTGTGTTTTTCAAAGAATTGGTCCATTAGCTCATCTAAGTTGTAGAAATTATGTGTGTAGAAGTGTTTCTAGTGTTCCCTTATTAGCCTTTTAAAGGATGTAAGACTGTAATGATATCTCTGTTTTCTTTTTTTTCGAGACAAGGTCACACTCTGTCACCCAGGCTAGAGTGCAGTGGTGTAATCAAGGCTCACTGCAGCCTTGACCTCCCTGGCTCAAGCGATCCTCCCACCTCACCCAACCCCGGTAGCTGGGACCAGAGGCATGTGCCACCATGCTTGGCTAATTTTTTTAATCTTTTGTAGAGATGGGGTCTTGCTATGTTGCCCAGGCTGATCTTGAATGCCTGGTCTCAAGCGATCCTCCCACCTTGGCCTCCCAAAGTGCTGGGATGACAGGTGTGAGCCACTGTGCTCAGCCTCATTTTTTATATTGGTGATTTGTATTCTCTCTCTCTTTCTCTCTGTCATTCTGGTTAGAGATGCATCAGTTTTGTTAATCTTTTCAAAAAAAAAACCAGATTTGGGTTTTGTTGATTTTTCTCTACCAGTCTCATTTTTAATTTTATTAATTTCTGCTCTTATCTTTATTATTTCTTTCCTCCCTTTTGCTTTGGGCTTGAATTTTATGGTATTGTATTTTCATTTTCATTTAGTTTAAATTATTTTTATTTTCTCTTGAGACTTTGGGGCTGGGTGCGGTGGCTCATGCCTGTAATCTCAGCACTTTGGGAGGCCGAAGGGGGTGGATCACCTGAGGTCGAGAGTTCAAGCCCAGCCTGACCCATATGAAGAAACCCCATCTCTACTAAAAAATACAAAATTAGCCAGGCATGGTGGTGCATGCCTGTAATCCCAGCTACTCGGGAGGTTGAGGCAGGAGAATTGCTTGAACCCGGGAGGCAGAGGTTGCAGTGAGCCGAGATCACGCCATTGCACTCCAGCCTAGGCAACAAGAGCAAAACTCCATCTCAAACAAACAAACAAACAAAAAGATACTTCATCTTTGACTCATGAATTATTTAGACACATACTGCCTAATTCCCAAGTATTTGAGGATTTTTCAGATGCCTTTCTGTTTTTGATTTTTTTGCTTGTTTTAAAATTTCTTTTCTTTTCTTTTTTTTTGAGACAGTCTCGCTCTGTTGCCCAGGCTGAAGTGCAGTGTGTGATCTCAGCTCACCGAAATCTCCATCTCCCAGGTTCAAGTAATTCTCGTGCTTCAGCCTCTCAAGTAGCTGGGATTATAGGCACAGGACACCATGCCCAGCTAATTTTTGTATTGTTAGTAGAGATGGGGTTTCACCATGTTGCCCAGGCTGGTCTTGAACTCCTGACCTCAAGTGATCCACCTGCCTCAGCCTCCAAAAGCTCTGGGATTACAAACGTGAGCCACTGAGCCCTGAGACTGATTTTTAGTTTAATTATATTATAGTCACAGGACTTTTTTTTTTTTTTTTTTGAGACAGAGTTTTGCTCTTGTTGCCCAGGCTGGAGTGCAATAGCGCAATCTCGGCTCACTGCAAACTTCGCCTCCTGGGTTCAAGTGATTCTCTTGCCTCAGCCTCCCTAGTAAGCTGGGATTACAGGTGCCCACCACCACGCCCAGCTAATTTTTTGTATTTTTAGTAGGGATGGGGTTTCACTATGTTGGCCGGGCTGGTCTCAAACTCCTGACCTCAGGTGATCCACCTGCCTCAGCCCCTCCCAAAGTGCCAGGATTATAGATGTGAGCCACCACGCCCGGCAAGACATACATTTATAATTTCAGTTTTTAAAAATTTGTTGCCAGACTCTGTGGCTCATGCCTGTAATCCCAGCACTTTGGGAGGCTAAGGCAGGAGGATCTCTTGAGGCCAGGAGTTCGAGACCAGCCTGGGCAACATAGTGAGACCCCCCGTCTCTACAAGAAAATTAGCTGGGCGTGTTGACATATCCCTGTAGTCCCAGCTACTCGGGAGGCTGAGGTGGGAGTATTGCTTGAGTCTGGGAGGTGGAGGCTGCAGTGAGCTATGATCACACCGCTGCACTCCAGCCAAGGTGACAGAGTAAGATCCTGCCTCCCCACCACACACAAAAAAAGTATTATAGTTTGTTTAATCGTCCAAGATATGATCTACATGATCTACCTTGGTGACAGTTCCATGTTTACATGAAGAGAACGTGTATTCTGCTATTCTTGGGTGGTGTGTTCGATAAACATCAATTAGGTTAAGCTGGTTAGTGGTGGTATTCAGACCTTTTAGATCCCTTGTTGATTTTTCATCTAACTAGCTCTACTGTTAAAAATTAGATTTTCTATCTAACTGGTTATATTCTCTAGAGGAGTGTTGAAGTCTCCAACTATGATTGTCAATTTGTCTATTTCTCCTTTCAATTTTATTAGTTTGGCTTCATGTATTTTGAAGCTCTGTTTTTAGGGACATATGCATTTAGGATTGTTATGTATCTTCTTGGTGAGTTGACCCTTTAATATAATGTTTGTCTGAATCCTTGGTAATTTTCCTTGTTTGGATTAGGCAATTTCTGTTGTTCTATCACTGTTTGTACTGTGATTTCCGTTCTGCTATTGATCCAATCCAATGAACTTTTATTTCATATATTGTATTTTTTAGTTCTAAAATTTCCATTTGGTTCCTTTTTTCTAGCATCTATTTTTCTGCAAGAATTTCGAAATTTCCATTTATTTCGGATTGTTCACCTTTACTGAACCATGGAGCATGGTTATAATAACTTTTTTAAAGTCTTTGTCTAATAATGGCAACATCTGGGTCATCTTAGCATTGGTATCTATCTATTGATTGCCTTTTTTTTTTTTTTTTTTTTGAGACGGAGTCTCGCTCTGTCACTCAGGCTGGAGTGCAGTGGCACGATCTCGGCTCACTGCAAGCTCTGCTTCCTGGGTTCATGCCATTCTCCTGCCTCAGCCTCCTGAGTTGCTGGGACTACAGGTGTCTGCCACCACGACCAGCTAATTTTTTGCATTTTTAGTAGAGACGGGGTTTCACCATGTTAGCCAGGATGGTCTCTATCTCCTGACCTCGTGATCCGCCCGCCTCTGCCTCCCAAAGTGCTGGGATTACAGGCGTGAGCCACCGCGCCCAGCCTTTTTGTCTTTTGTCTTGTACATTGTTGTCAGCTTTTCCTGTTTCTTTGTATGTCAAGTAATTTTGGACTGTGTCTTGGACATTTGGAATACTGTAAGACACTGGGGCCTGTTAAAATCCTCTGAAGAATGTCAGTTTTTTCTTTGTTTGTTTATTCGTTTGTTTTTGAGACAGGGTCTTGCTCTGTCACCTAGGCTGGAGTGCATTGGCATGATCATGGCTCACTGCAGCCTCAACCCCCTGGCCTTAAGCAATCCTCTTACCTTAGCTTCCTAAAGCCTTAGGGTTACGAGCATGAGCCACTGTGCCCAGTCTGTTTGTTTGCTTTTTAAATCAGTTAGGTTGACGCCTCAGATCCCAACCTGCCCTCTGTGAATTATAGTTTCAATGTCAGTTCAGTTTTCAAAGCCTTTGCAGTGCTATTCAGATCCACCCCAAGTATACATACTCCAGGGGCCAGTCTGTTCAGTCTACACTGTAGTTCAGTTCTCAGAGTCTTTGGTAGGTTATTTGGGGTCAGTTCCATGTATGTGCAGCTCAGGAGTAGGCTAGGACCTCAAATACAACAACTTTATGGGATCATATTCTCAAGCTCCCTTCTTTCTGTGATGCCGCCCTATCCAGCTTCCAGGGGCCCCTTTTTCTCATTTTTTTCCAGGTAAAAGATTTTCCCTTTCTCGGAGTTTTAGGTCCCCCTGTGTGACTGCTACGGCTGCTGCCACCACCTAACCTTTGGGACAGGTTTTACCTTGTAGGGAGGGGGCTGGGAGAGAAAAAAGACCCAGGGCACTTCTCCCACTCGATTTTTCCCAGGAGGCCCCCCTTTCCCGGCTTCTCATCAGAAAGAGAGTTTCTTCCGTAGCTTTTTCTCTGTGCACCTGCTGCACAGTTCTGGGATTTGGGCTCCTGAGTCTAGGTCAGGAAATATGCAAGCTCACCACCGTATTCATCTTACTTAACGTTTTTGTTTTCCTCCCCAATTCACCTTCCACTATTCACTTTTCACAGTCCTTGTGTAGTTGTTTTATGTCTTCTGTCAGGGTTTTTAGTTATAATCAATGGGAAAGCTAGACTGTAGTGTGCTTACTCCATCTTAACCAGAACCAGGAGGCTTGCTTGGCTTTAAATATTGGCATCTAATTTTAAGTCTGTCCTCAAGCCACATCTGAGATGCTAGCTGGCCACCTCTGCTTTAGTGGCACAGTGTCTCAAAATTAATTTTTCTTTCTTTTTTTCTTTTGAGATGGAGTCACAATCTTGGCTCATTGCAACCTCCCGCCTCCTGGGTTCAAGCAATTCTCCTGCCTCAGCCTCCCCAGTAGCTGGGACTACAGGCGCGCACCACCACACCCAGCTAATTTTTTTTTTTTTTTTTGAGGCGGAGTCTCGCTCTGTTGTCCAGCCTGGAGTAGAGTGGCACGATCTCGGCTCACTGCAACCTCCGCCTCCCAGGTTCAAGTGATTCTCCCACCTCAGCCTCCCAAGCAGCTGGGATTACAGGTGTACACCACCACACCCTGCCTAATTTTTGTATTTCTAGTAGAGATGGGGTTTCACCATGTTGGCCAGGCTGGTCTCGAACTCCTGACCTCAGGTGATTCACCCATCTCGGCCTCCCAAAGTGCTGGGATTACAGGTATGAGCCACTGTGCCTGGCCTAATTTTTCTTTTAATACTCAAATTCTTAAGCAAAAGTTGTCAGTACCAATGCCAGTTTTTCTAGATTAAAAGAGAGCAGAATACAGATTTATTCTTTCTCTGGTCAGAGCAAGCCCCTAAACCTGTCAGCATAATAATAGTGATTGCAATTATTTTAGCAGAAATAATAATTACTGGCTAAGGGCATGGAGTCTGGAACCAGGCCTCTTGTGTTCAGCCGTCTTCTACGAACTGTGTGACCTTAATTCTGAATGACTTTGCCTTTCTATGTCTCAGTTTCCTCCCCTGTAAAATGGGAATAATAATGGTATCTGCTTCCCAGGTGGTGGCGAGGATTAAACAAATTCATATGCATAGAGCGCTCAGAACAGTGCCTGGCACAAAGGAAGGCTCGCTAAGCATTTGCTTTGATTCCCGTGAGTAATGGCTGACGTTTATTAGGCACCTTGCCTTGCAGACAGCTTCACAGCGGCAAGATAAGCCGGCTTATCTCACTTGCTCAGATGAGGCAGCTGAGATTTCAGAAAGGCAAATGGCTTGCTTGAGTCCATCTGGCCTTCAGACCTTGAAATTAGGGAGGCGTGGGTGGCTGGGCATGGGTTCAGGGAGTATCTGGCTGGTAATCAATCAGACAGCAACGGCAACGAAGCTTTTTAACATCATCTGGTCTGAGCTAGAAGAGATGTGACCCAGGGGACTGAGTGGGGGGAAAAAATCAGCTCAAAGAGAAAGGCAACAGAAATAGAAGGGGAAGCCTGGTAATTGAGTGGCCCCAAAAAGGAAAGATCAATATTTTACTTCCAGTGAACAACCAATTTCCCTGGCAGCAAGCTGGGGCCCAGCTGTGTGTGCTTCAGTGACAACAGCTGCTTCTGCAATGCCTGCCAGGCCTGGCGAACCCGTCTCTCCTGGCCTGGGAGCCAGAGGGGGAGCCCCAGGGCTGCCCAGCCACGCATGGTGTGTGCCCCAGGGTGGGGGCGGCCCCCAGCTCCCCTGCCTGGGGCCCAGGCTCCCCACGAAGACCACATGGGGTGGCTATTTGCTATGCTCCCTGCGTGACCTTGAGCAAACCCCTCCCCCCGCTGGGACCTCGCTTCACCAACTGTGAAATGACGGGCTGGGTCAGTGGAATGTGTCTGGCCGAGGACCATCTGTGGCAAAAGGTTACCTGATGTCCAGGAAGGTCGAGACTCTTTGTGATCCAAGGCGAGGGGTCCCCACGTAGTGAGTAAAGCTTCTTTGATGCTCAGGGCGCCAGGGGATAGAAAGAACACTTTAGTGCAGACAGCCCCGTGAGAGTCTCTGGCCCAGGAAGGCAACAGGGAGCAGTGGCTGACTCTCTGGGGTCAGTAAGACCTGGGTTCAAGAGTTGCCACTACAGGTGGGCAAAAATTTTAAATTTAAAAAAAGGAAAATAAAAGGGGAGCGTTACCACTGCAGTGACTTTGTCTAAATGTCTTACCCTCTCTGAGCCTCAGTCTCCTCAATTTAAAATGGGGGACTATAATAATAGCTACTGTTAAGTTTGCTGTGAGGATTAAATGAGACTATGTGTGAACCCTCCGTGGACTCCAAGCATTTGCAATACTTCTCCACATAAATGATGCTGTTATTTATTTTAAAAATCACTGAGCCTGTGGTTGATGGTATGTATTGGTAATAACCAGCATGCATTGTTCTAATAATTTCACACCTGTTTTCTTTTTTTTCTTTTTCTTTTCCTTTTTTTTTTTTTTTTGAGACGGAATTTTGCTCTTGTTGCCCAGGCTGGAGTGCAATGGCACCATCTTGGCTCACCGCAACCTCTGCCTCCCGGGTTCAAGCGATTCTCCTGCCTCGGCCTCCCAAGTAGCTGGGACTACAGGTGCACACCACCATGCCCAGCTACTTTTTCTTGTATTTTTAGTAGAGACGGGGTTTCACCATGTTGGCCAGGATGGTCTCAATCTCTTGACCTAGTGATCTGCCCACCTTGGCCTCCCAAAGTGCTGGGATTACGGGCGCCAGGCACCACGCCCAGCCCAATTTCACACTTGTTTTCTAAAGGGCAGGACATCAGTGTGCCTGGCCATTTTTGTTTTTTGTTTTTTGTTTGCTTTGAGACGGAATCTTGCCCTGTCACCCAGGCTGGAGTGCAGTGGCACAATCTCGGCTCACTGCAACCTCCACCTCCCTGTTTCAAACGATTCTCCTGCCTTAGCCTCCCTGAGTAGCTGGGACTACAGGTACACATGACCACGCCTGGCTAATTTTTGTATTTTTAGTAGAGACAGGGGTTTCTCTATGTTGGCCAGGCTGGTCTCGAACTCCTGACCTCAGGTGATCCACCTACCTCAGCCTCCCGAAGTGCTGGGATTATAGGCATGAGCCACTGCGCCCGGCTGGCCTGGCACTTTTGTGGCCACTACTCTGGGGCTGCCACTCTTTGAAGAGCCCTGTGGGAGCAGCTGTAGAGAGGTCACAGCCTGGGGTGTGCCCCCGGTTGCAGCTTGGGCCATGGCGTGGGTGCTTCGGGGACCATGCAGTGGCCCTCAGTACCCCATCTGTCTGCCTGTCATCAAACAACCCCACCCCCACCTCTGTCCCAGGTAGGCTTTTGCTGGCAGAGGAATGGACAGCTCGCCCCACCAGTGTCTCCCAGCCTCAGGGAGCTGTGGACACAGGGATTACAGAATCCAAATCCCTGCACTCCTGCCTCCTAGGTGGACTTGAGGTGAGGGTCCTCATCAGTCAGTCAGCACTCTGTGGCCGACTCCACCCTTGACTTGCTTCAGAAATAATGAAGGCAGAGCCCTGACCTTGGAGAGGACTGTAGGCCTGAGCATGGGAGGCTGGAGGGTAGAGGGTGCCCTGGCTCATCCCCACATTCACAGGCCCCCTATAATGCCAGCGATGCAAAGGCAGGAGGAGAGGAGGCGGAATGCCAGCCAGGATGGTGGGTGGGCTCCCCTGCAGCCCTGCAGGTGGCACCTGGGCATTGCTATTCTCAGAAGCCACGTCATTGCCTGGCAGTGTCAGAGGCTGGCATGGCTGGGGGGAGGGGGCAGCTGCAATGTTGAGGAGGCTGGCAAAAAGCCACTTTCCTCCTTTACTGAAATTTTGCAGGTCTTTCCTGAGAGCCCACTAGGTACCAGGTTCAGGGAGGTTCACAGAAAGAATGTGGCACGGCCCCTCTGCCCTTCCCTCACCCCAGACTCACCCCAGAGTGGAAAAGCAGGGTCAGCTGGAATCAAGATGCAAGCACAGAGCCGCCAGGTTCCAGGCAAGGAGAAGATGGTTAGGGTGGGGCCTCTTTGTCCACTGCTCACCTTCCAAAGCCCACTGGGCACAGCCCCCATGGTGCCAGGCCACCGGCAGTGACCAGGGCTTCAGACCCCTGCTGCAGCTGCCACGCTGTGGGCATGCAAGAAAAACGTGGTCCCTATAAATAGATGAATCCCCAACGTGGTTTGGCTTCGGTGCCTGTGATGGGTGGTGTGGTATGCCGGCGAGTCTGCCTGTGATGGCGTGAACACTGACAACAGTGACTGTGAGCAGTTTCCTGCATGCTGTGCTCTGCAGGCCCCGGGTGCCCTCAGATCCATCATCTGCAGCCCAGCCTGAGCAGATTCTGGAAAGAGCTCATCCTGGCCTGGCTGTGCTATAGATACTGATGGTGATTATTAGGGGGAGCGGCAAGATGCCTGACAAGGAGTGTGAGCGTGTACACATGTGTATGCACTATTGTGTATGTGTGGCTAGCCAGCAGAACCAGCACCTACCACCATCAACCCCTGAAAGAGTGCCTGGCATGTAAGAGGTGCTCAGTCATCACTTGTTGAATAAGTGAGTGAATGAATGAATGAATGCTTGTATGGGTGCTGTGGGAGGGCTGCCACTAAGTTTTAGAAGCAGTTTTAGATTTAGAAGCAGGCTTCTGAGCCAGGCGTGGTGGCGTGCCTGTAGTCCCAGCTACTTGGGAGGCTAAGGTGGGAGGATCCCTTGAGCCCAGGCATTTGAGGCTGCAGTGATCTATGATCATGCCACTGCACTCCAGCTTGGGCAATAATGTGAGGACATGGCTCTTAAAAAAAAGTTGTTATTATTATGATGATGATGATGATTATTATTATTATTTGAGACGGAGTTTCACTCTTGTCACCCAGGCTGGAGTGCAGTGGCGCGATCTTGGATCACTGCAACCTCCACCTTGAAGGTCAGAGGTTCTCCTGACCTTGGAGAGGATTGTAGGTGTGAGCAAAAACAAATATTATGAAGCCTCTACTATGTACCAGTCACGGTGCAAGCGACCAGGTATACAGTGGTGATCAGAATGGACAGGGTCCTTGCCCTTAGGGAGCTTACTTTGTAGAGAGAAGATATAAATTAATCAAATTATCCCACACACATACAACTACATGAAAGAGTATGGAGAAACTAAGGCTAAGGCTTTCTGCAGTGAGGTCGGGAGATACTCACACCTGCTAAAGTTCAAACCACACAATATCCCAATAGACTTGGGTGTGCAACCGAAGTCATGATCTGCCAGTCTCCAGCATTTCTCAGCTGCGAGTGCCCTGACTAGCTCACCAGTCAGAAAGGCTTTGCAATCTAGGATTTCTGCCCAGCCAATGAGCTGCCTCTGAAAACAACTTTCTGTGGAAATCCTCCGTAAAAATTGGTCTCCTGGCTGGGCGTGGTGGATCACGCCTGTAATCCAAGCACTTTGGGAGGCCAAGGTGGGCAGATCACCTGAGGTCAGGAGTTGGAGACCAGCCTGGCCAACATAGTGAAACAGCCTCTCTACTAAAAATACAAAAATTACCTGGGCATGTTGGCGGGCGCCTGTAATCCCAGCTACTCAGGAGAGGCTGAGGCAGGAGAATCTCTTGAACCTGGGAGGCGGAGCTTGCAGTGAGCTGAGATTGCGCCACTGCGCTCCAGCCTGGGCAACAGAGCGAGATTCCATCTCAAAAAAAAAAAAAAAAAAAAAAGAATCCTTCCTCCACTTGCCTCCTGGGATGCTCTTCGGGGCTGTCCTGATCCCGTGTACCTGAATTGCAATTCTTTGTTTCCCAAATAAACGCTATTTCCTTTGACCTCCATGTCAATCTCTTTTTAGTTAACAATAGCAAGTTGCAACAAATTGTTTGAAGGGAAAGTATAGGATGCTACAAGACAGGATAGCAGCGGGGTGGGCCCTGATTGGATGGGGGTGGTCAGGACAGACCTGTCTCAGGGAGGGACGTTTCATAGAGGTACAAAGGGAGACCTGAAGGATGAACTGACATGGCGAATGGGGAGGACAGCTGTCCAAGTTGTAGGGAATAGCATGTGCAAAGGCCCTGGGGCAGAGAAGAGTGTGGTGGTTTCCGTGAGGAGCTGACCAAAGGCCAGTGCAGCTAGAGTACAGTGAGTGATGAAGAGCATGGGAGGAGAGGGAGTGGAAGGGGTCAGATCACATGGGGCCTTGTGGGCCGTGTTGTGGAGTTTGGATTTTTTTTTTTTTTTTTTTTTTTGAGACAGAGTCTTGCTCAGTCGCCCAGGCTGGAGTGCAGTGGCGTGATCTCAGCTCAATGCAACCTCTGCCTCCCAGGTTCATGCCATTCTCCTGCCTCAGCCTCCCGAGTAGCTAGGACTACAGGCGCCCGCCACGACGCCCGGCTAATTTTTTTTGTATTTTTAGTAGAGATGGGGTTTCACCATGTTAGCCAGGATGGTCTCGATCTCCTGACCTCGTGATCTACCCGCCTCGGCCTCCCAAAGTGCTGGGATTACAGGTGTGAGCCACCGCGCCCGCCCTGGAGTTTGGATTTTTATCCTAAGTGTGGTGGAATGATACTGGAAGGTTTTAAGCAGAGGAGTGGGTGACACGATCCAGTTAGACTTGCATGATCCAGGAGAGACAGGATGATGGCTATGACCAGGTGGGGCTCCTGAGAGGTGTGGGAAATGAGGGAGCTGTGGGATACAGTGGGAGCATGGATTGAATGTGAGTGACAGTGAGCAGACGCAGTGATGCTGAAGAACCCTGCAGTGGCAGGAAGGGAGGGAGGACGGGGTCAGGGAGTGGGACATTTGATGGGTGGTATTGGAGGGGGTGATCACTGGGTTGACCAAGGGACTTGGTGCCTGAGGTGGAATATGAGGCAAAAAGAAAGTCAAGGATCTGAGAGGCCGGGGGTTGATGGGTCATCCACACAGCTGCAGGAACCCCCAAAGATGAATTGTAAAAGCAAAAAGCTGGAAATAACCAAAATGCCCAGCTATTAGGGGTGGTGAAGTAAATTATGATGAACCCACCGGGCAGAATGTGTTACAGCCACTAACAACGTGGGTTGTACACACCAAGCAGCATGGAAACTGTTTCTGTCCTACCTCCTGTTACACGGGAGAGAAACTCTCCAACCTCAGGGATGGCTGACTCTGCCAGGTGAAAACTTACTTCCTTATTCATCTAACACTCTTCATTGAAGTGCAAGGTACAAATAGAACAGAAAAGTTCATCAGCCACCAGTGTCCATCTCAGTGAGTTTCCCCATCTAGCCAGCACCTGGAACAAGAAATAGAACAAGAGAAATGGTGGGATTTCTGGGTCATTTACAATGAGTTTGTGTCTGTTTTGTGTGAAAGAAACCAATTTTAAAACATCGGCAGAGCCTCGGCTTTCATTGTGCAGTCCCTGGGGGAAGGAGGCTCGGCCCCTGAAGCCGTGTGCTCAGGGAGGGTGTGCTCAGGGAGGAGCCGGTGTTGGCTCTGCTTTTCTTTGCCCGAGTTGTCTGTCACCATGGGGAGAATAAAGTGGCCCCATGGCTGATACTGACCCCAGGGTGAGGGTAAGAGGACTGGGCGGGGACACTGGTGTCCCTCCCTCCCTCCCAGCCTCCCCACCCAGCTCCCTGAGTCTTCGGGAGATCCTTGGGTGTCTCACACCTGTCCCTGCTTCATTCCCACAGGTGGAAAAACTTGTGAAATATTTGGATCCCAACGACCTGGGGAGAATCAACTTCAAGGACTTTTGCCGGGGGGTGTTCGCCATGAAAGGTGAGGTCTTCCCGGGAGGCTTTCCCAGGCGCTCTCCGGTCCTGCCCAGCTGGGGAAGCTGGTGTGACTGGGGGCCCAGCCTGGATTCCTCCCCACAGGGGTCCCAGAGCCCAGGATGGGCCAGAAGTCGGTTCTGCCTCTGGCTTCCGGGGGGGCCAGAGGAGAAGGACACTGTTGCCCCAGCCGTGGGGGGCTGTGGTCTCACCCATGGAAGTCACTTCTGCCCTTCCCCTTGTCTGCCCGCCTCTGGAGAAAGCCTCCTTCCCTGCTTTTCTGTCCTCTTCCTCTCTCTCCCGCTCTGGGGTGACCAAACCCAGTGAGTCTCCTGGGATGTGGGAGGGACTCCACTTTTAAGACCAGGGCAGTCCTGGGCAAACCTGGACAAAGCGCTGGTCACATGACTGCCCGCCTCCCTCTGAGCTGCTGCTTTTGTGTCCTCCCTGCTCCCGCCTCCTCTTTTTTTTTTTTTTTTTGAGACAGGGTCTGGCTTTGTCGCCCAGGCTACTGGAGTGCAGTGCCACTATCATGGCTCCCTGCAGCTTCAACCTCCTCGGCTCAAGCAATCCTCCTGCCTCAGCCTCCTGAGTAGCTGAGACTACAGGAGGTACACCACCATGCCTGGCTAATTTTTGTATTTTAAGTAGAGATGGAGTTTTGTCACGTTGTCCAGCCTGGTCTTGAACTCCTGAGATCAAGTGACCCTCCCATCTCAGTCTCCCAAAGTTCTGGGATTACAGGCATCAGCCTCCATGCCCTGCCCTCTCTTCCTCTTAATTCTTCCTAATTCCTGCCTTTCTTCCTTGCCCCTGCTTCCAGTTTTAAGGGGACAATATAAATCCCTCTGTCTTGTCCCAAAAATTCAAAGGCCAGTTGTGAGAAACTTGCAGGAATCAGAATATGGCCACTCACTTACTACTAAGCTGTTTATCTGAGACAGTGAGGGCCAGGCACGGTGGCTCACACCTATAGTCTCAGCACTTTTTGGGAGGCCGAGGCAGGCGGATTGCTTGATCTCAGGTGGATCACTTGAGTCCAGGAGTTTGAGACCAGCCTGGCCAACATGGCGAAACCTCATCTCTACAAAAAATACAAAAAATTAGCCGGGCATTCTGGTGTGTGCCTGTGGTCCCAGCTACCTGGGAGGCTAAGGTGGGAGGATCACCTGAGCCCAGGAAGTTGAGGCTGCAGTGAGCTGAGGTCACGCCACTGCACTCCAGCCTGGGTAACAGAGTAAGAACCTGTCTCAAGAAAGAAAAAAATCTGAGACAGTGGCATAGGTCACCAGCCAGGTGGACTTGCTAAGGCCTCCCCACTAGCTGCAGAGAGAATGCAGTCACTTCTGGAGTCCCAGGGTGTCTGCTTATCTGTGAAGGAAGCCATGGTTTCCTGTCTGCGGCTCAGATCAAGTTTAGCCCTTTTCTGTGGGGTGCCTATGAGTCCTGGGAGGGTGGAACGATGCAGGGTGAGGGATGAAGGGAACCAAATACACGGTGCAGGGGGCACAGAACACAGAAGGTGCCCAGGGAAGGTTTTCTGCGTGGATTTGACAATGGGCCACTGCAGGCTGCACCTGCCATGTGCCTGTGCCAGGCATTTTGTCAGGTCCCCCTCCCAGTTCAGTACAACCTTGGGGCGTTTGGTTGGGATCTCAGGAGCGAGGCCAGCCGTGTACAGAGTCAGCAGGAACTGCAGCTGTCCTGCGGGCAGCCCTGTCCTGGACGTCCCAGGGTCTGCAGGACACGGGGGGCGCCCAGCCTCGGAGGAATGGGTGTGTTTGCTTTCTCCAGAGGCTGGCACAGTCGTTTGGAGTCCCTGCAAGCCAGGTGGGCAGCACTGCCTTAGGTCCCCTCCCCCAGGAAGGCCTCCTTCCTTCCTGTTGCCCCAGCCTGCCCTCTGTGTGTGGGAATTAGTCCCAGAGGACAAGGGCCTCTTGCAGCTCCCTCCACAGTGCCTTGAGCTGAGTTCCCCACCGCCTGGGCTCCATCCCTGCCTTCCAGTGCTCAGCTGGCCTCCTGGAGCCTCGGGCCCCCACCTCAGCCCTTCCCACCCTATGCCCATTAGTCAGAAGCAGAGCAGCCGTCCCAGGCTGAGGCTCAACCCCTCACTGTCCCGTGTGTCTGCCTGTCTGCGCAGGGTGCGAGGAGCTGCTGAAGGATGTGCTGTCGGTGGAGAGCGCGGGGACGCTGCCGTGCGCGCCAGAGATCCCAGACTGCGTGGAGCAGGTAAGGCTTGGGGGGCCTCAAGGACCTCCATGGCTCTGCCTCCTCCTTCTTGGTCTTGCCTTTGCTCCATTTTCAGTATCTGGGAGGACCCAGAACCTCCCTCTGAGGACCCTTCTTGAGCATCAGAGTCAAGAAATAGTTTTTGGAACAGGAGCCCTGAGTCCCCTTGGGAAGCCCCAGCAGAATGTGTAACAGCTGGGGGTCCTCACCCAGCAACTTTATTTCCCATCTGTGGCACGGAGGAGAGACTGAGTTCCAGACAGGGAAAGTGGCAAGTGGAGGGGAGGCAGGACTAGAATTGTTTCCTTTTCTTCTGCACCATCGCTCTCTGAGCTGAACGCTTCCTGTTTGTTTGTTTTCAAACAACAACGAATTCTCCAATTCTCTGACACTAACTGGTGTCCAGCAATCAGTTCCACCTGCCACTAACTACCCAGCATTAGCACAGACTCCATGAGTCAAGGTCAACTCCATGAGACTGCCCCACCTCCCACGCCAGCTGCAGTTCTTCCTGGATAACTGCAAACACAGGGTTCCCAGGACCACCTCCCTCGGGCTGGGTAATTCACTGGAAACACTCAGGAAATGGTTGTACTTACGATGATCAGTGTATTACAAAGGATACAACTCAGGATTAGCCACACGGAAGAGATGTACAAGACAGGGTATGGGGAGCAGGGATGCAGAGCTTCCGCACCTTCGCTTAGGGGCGCTGCCTCCCAGCACATCACCGTGCTACCAGCACCCGGGCTCTCTGCATCTCATTGTTCAAGAATTTGTAGGCCTGGCGTGATGGCTGATGCTTGTAATCCCAGCACTTTGGGATGCTGAGGCAGGAGGACAGCTTGAGCCCAGGAGTTTGAGAGCAGCCTGGGCAAGATGATGAGACCCCGTCTCTACATAAAAACTTAAAATTAGCTGGATGTGGTGGTGCACACCTGTAATCTCAGCTACTGGGGAGACTGAGGTGGGAGGAGCACTTGAGCCCAGTAGTTTGAGACTTCAGTGAGCTGTGATTGTGCTACTGCACTCCAGCCAGCCTGGGTGACAGGGCCAGACTCATCTCCAAAAATTAAACAGTTTTTACAACCCAGTCTCCAGCCCCTCTCCTCTGCCTGGAGGTTGGGGGTAGGTGGGAAGGTGAGAAAGTTCCCACCTTATTGTATGCTTGGTCTTTCTGGTGACCAACCCCATCCTGAAGCTCTGTATCAGGAAGCGGGACAAAGACCACAGTCCCCAAGGCTCTGTTTTTCTGTTATCATTGCCTAATGGTGTGTTTCTTATGAAACTTTGAACTAGTTTTCCAAGCAGTGCAGCTTCATCCTACAGAGAAACAGTTGAAGGTGCACAAGCTGACAACCAGCGAGGTCCCTCCTGGTGGCAACACCCAGAACTAGAAGAGGATGATTTTGATTTCTTACCCAGCCCAACCCCCAAACCTTTTCCCCAGTTCTGATGGGTGCCTCCTCTGGACCCCAAAACATGAGTATGTTTATAGCTGAAGGAGATCCAGGACCCCAGAGGCCACTTTGGCTGATGGTAGGCCTCTTGGAATCCAGCTGGGTCGTGGGGTCAGGGTTAGGTTCCCTGGGCAGGACTGGAGGAGGGACAGTCCACAGAGAGGGACACAGTGCTGAGGGCTGCCAAGTCCATGGTGGCAGAGACCAAAGCCAGGCACCAACTGTGGGCCAGGGCCCCCAGGCTGGGAGTCAGGTGGCTAGGCCTCAGGCTGCTGTGCTCAAAGCAAGAGCCCTCAGGGATGCGTGGAGATAGCTGGGCCCCAGGCCCATGCCCATGCCAGCAGTGATGGCTCCAGGCCTGTCTTGATGGGTCCAGCAAGCAGGGGTTGAATATGTATTTGGGGCCAGCTAATGGAACCAGGATTAGGAAAGAGGACCTCCACTGTGGGACAAATACTGAGTGCCCCAGGAACTTTGCTGGGGGGGCCCTTCCTGGATTGCTGAGCAGGAGGCAGCGTGCAGAGGTGTGCAGGACTGGGTCCATACCCACGTGGGCCACCCAGGACAGGCCATGGAACCTGAGCACGTTCTTCTCAACCCCGCTGAGCGTCAGTGTCCTCAACTGTAAAACAAGGCTTGCTGTGCCAATCTGGAGGGTCTGTTGTGAAAGTTCAGTGGGAAGACAGACCCCTAATACGTGCTAATTCCTCGCCGCCTGCTGCTGTAAGAAAATGGTGCTGAAGTTACCATTTGCATTTTTCAGTTTACCCTCGGATACTGGTGTTGCAAAATTATGTTAAAGTAAAGCCCTGCCCCAGGAACTGGAGGGCAGAGTGGAGCCGAGGCCTGGGGAGAGGGGGTGGGAGTTGGGGTAGGGGTGACGTGTTCCCTGTAGTCTTTGGCTGCTTTTGTGGCCCCCACATTCTGCCATTCACACCTCTGGAAAAGGTGGCACATGGAGAAAAGATGAGCAGGGGGTGCAGAAGAGTGGGCCTCCACCAAGGTACTCTTTTTTGTAAACCGATATTGCTTTCCTCCAAAGTCTAGAGGTTATGGGAAAGCAGAAAGAAAGACCGCGTCAGCCTATCTCAGCAAGCCTGGTGCTTCTCCTTGTTTCTTCATGGGACTTTGCAATCCTATAGGTTTTTGTTGCTTTGGGTTTTGTTTTTTGTTTTTTTTTTGTTTTTTTTTGTTTTTTGTTTTTTTTGTTTTTTTTGTTTTTTGAGACGGCATCTTGCTCTATCGCCCAGGCTGGAGTGCAGTGGTGCAATCTCGGTTCACTGCAAGCTCCGCCTCCCGGGTTCATGCCATTCTCCTGCCTCAGCCTCCTGAGTAGCTGGGACTACAGGTGCCCGCCACCATGCCCAGCTAATTTTTTTTTGTATTTTTAGTAGAGATGGGGTTTCACCATGTTAGCCAGGATGGTCTCGATCTCCTGACCTCATGATCCACCCGCCTCGGCCTCCCAATGCTTTGGATTTTAAGCTTCTCGTGGGTGAACTCCTTTCTGCCCTCCATGGAGGTCTGGCCCCGGCTTGGTTGGCCAGAGCCTAGTGAGATGGCGGTAGCTGTGGACACAGTGGCAGCCTTGTTCATTATGCTCGCTGGGGCTGCTTGGTTGACCTGGACTCCATTCCCTACCATGGGCTTCTGCGTGTTGGCAGGGAGAGGAAGGGGGCACAATCCGAAGACCAGCCTGACGGGGCAGACGGCTTCTGGATTGTGAATGAGTCCTCTTCCTGGCTTAGGCTCCTGTAATAGCAAGGTCAAGACCACAGCTCTGCAGATGAGGTGTCAGAGTGGGCTGGACTGGGCAGGTCCGAATTTCTCAGGCCCGGCTCTCTGCGCCCTGCTGTGTCTTAGCTGTCCCCTAGGGGTCAGTCTGAGACTGAGAAGAAGCGGGTGCCTGGATCACTACGTAGGCTTCCCAGATGCCCCCAGGGAACGCAAACCTGAGGCATGATTTGAGGAGGTGTGGGGATGACACACAGATGGGATGGCAGGCGCTCCATCCCTGTGCCATGCGTGTATGTTGGGAGGTGAAGCTTGTTTTTCGGGCACAGCCCCCTCCCCTCAGGGTGTGGACGGAGACCTCTGACTTAACCACTGGATGTGGCTCGTAATTAAAGCAGTGAATGCTTGAGTGCTGGCTGGTGGGCCAGCAGCTGCCACCTGGCCCCTGAGAGCACCCTGCCCTTCTTGACCCCCTCCCAGGCCCCGAGAAGCCTCTAGCGTTGGGCATCAAGCAGGGGCCCCTGGGGTTGCTGTCCAGACCTCAGGCCAGTGCAAGTCTATCCCGGGCAGTTGATGCCTGGATGCACCAGTTCCTGACCTTACTGGATGTGGCTCCACCTGCGTCCCCAGAGCCCTGCGAGACCCTGGCAGAGGGAAACTTTGAGGCTTGGGAACCCCAACTGTTGAGCAGGCTGTTGAGAGAGTTTCCTGACCCAGGGAAATTTGCTTCTGGTCAAAGGGAATGTTAGGTGTGTCCTGAAGGACTCCCCAGGTTCCCTGGGTCCATGCATGGGGTCCCTGGAATCGCCCTGGGAGTCCCTCTGAGACTGTCCTGCTCAGGCTGCCCATCAGCCCCCAGTCCATATGCTATAGGGGCCCCCGTGGGGAGGGGGCATGGAGACACGTGGAGAGCCCGACACTCGGGTGCTAAAGGCAATGGGATAGTTGCTAGGGGCCCGTGGTCACCCCTCAGCAGGCAGTAATGTGAACCCTAATCCTACAAGTGCTGTAAGGCCCTGGGCCCTGTTCATCCACCCTATGGTGGATGAAATGGAGAGGGCATCCAGCCACCTGCCCCTCCTGTGTAGCCACCACGCCAGCAAATGGTGTCAGTAGCCTCCAACCCAGAGAGTCATCCTCAGCGCCTCCTCATGCAGCTGCCTTGAGTCCTCTGTTCCCCACTCACCCCTGCCTCCCCCTTCCATCACAGCCACTGCCACCCACTGACCGGGCGTCCTCCTGTCCTCAGCCTTCCTCTCTCCACACCCCCATCCCGCTCCTGGGACCCGTCCTTACCAAGGGATGAAAACCAACATCAGCTCCTACCCACTACTCTAGCCTCATCTCTCACCATGGTGCATCTCACACCTAAAACTGGCGATACCAAACCGCTCCCCGTTTCCTGAGAAAGCCATGTTCTCTCTTGCCTCTGAGTGTTATCTTTCTCCTAGGATGTCCTCCCTCCCGCTTCCTTGTCAGGAGCTAACGTCTACTCACCTTTTTAAGACTTACTTGCCGGGAGTGGTGGCTCATGCCTGTAATCCCAGCACTTTGGGAGGCTGAGGTGGGAGGATTACTTGAGCCCAGGAGTTTGAGACCAGCCTGGACAATATAGTGAGACTGCTTCTCTTAAAAAAAAAATTTTTACTTAGGTACCGCCTCCTCCAGGAAGCCTCCCTGACTCCTTCTGCCCCAGCCCAAAGGAGAAGGACCTGCACTGAGCTTCCTGGGGGCCCTTCACCCTCTACCACTGCCTGAACCTCACCCTTCATGACAGCCAGCCCCATGTCCACCCAGTGGCTTCAGGGCTCAGGCTGAGCTCCTCCTTTTCACCCCCAGGACAGCACCCACAGCAAGCATCGTTATCCATGCTCCTTGGGTGTGTCTCTAAGTATTTCTAGAACTAGGTATCTGGAAGCAGAATTGCTGTGTCAAAGGGTATGTAGATTTTGTTTTTTAACAGATACGGATGAAATTTTCTTCCACAAAGCCTGTACCATTTGTATCACCCAAGCACTATATGAGATTGCCCCTTTCCCCATGGCCTTCGCCAACCCCGGAAGCCATCCATCCACCTGCTGGTCTCCGGCCTAGCAGCCTGAGGGGAGGAAAGCCCATTGCTGCCGTCCTCTGTGCTGCCCAGCTTCCTAGGGAGGCGGACCATCTTTTTCTTATCTTCCCATACCCTCTGGATTTCTGCTTTTACGAATTAGCTATTCATATTCTTTGCCCATTTTCGATATGGTTGTTTGTCTTTTCCTTATTGATTTATAAGAAATCTCTGTATATTCTGTTTTTTGCTTGTTTGTTTTTTGAGGCAGTCTCGCTCTACTGCCCAGGCTGGAGTGCAGTGGCTCAATCTCAGCTCACTGCAACCTCTGCCTCCCGGGCTCAAGCGATCCACCTGCCTCGGCCCCGCAATTAGCTGGTACCACAGGCACACGCCACCACATCCAGCTAATTTTTGTTTTTTTGTTTGTTTGTTTGTTTGTTTTGTTTTTGGTAGAGACAGGGTTTTGCATGTTGCTCAGGCTGGTCTTGAACTCCTGTGCTCAGGTGATCTGCCCACCTCGGCCTCCCAAAGTGCTGAGATTACAGGTGTGAGCCACAGCAACAGGTTGAAATCTCTATATATCCTGATTATCAATCTTTATGGATTTTGCTTGTGTTTTAATCTTGTTTTAGGAGTGTTTTATTACACAGAATGTTAATTCTGATGTCATCATTTATCAACCTTTTTATGCCATTTGCATTTTGTGTATCATTTTGTGCCTTCTGTACCTCCAGGCTATAAACATATTCTCCTATATATAGTTTTCAGATACTTTTGAGAAAAAGAAGTATTTATGCTTAGCTCTTTTATCCACCTGGAGCTTATTTTTGCTTTTGGTGGGAGTAGAGATCTGGCACTCTTACTTCCTCAATATGGCCAGTACTTTGAGTTCCTAATGTTGAATAGTCCCTCTTTCTCAATTGATTTGAAATTTTATCTTTATTGTATGCTAACTTACCTTATATACGTAGGTCTCTTTCTGGACTCTGGTCTGTTATATTGATCTGTTTGTCTACCTACTTTTAAGCCAAAACCATAGTTTCAGTTACTCTTGTTTATAGTTTGATATCTGATAGGGAAAGGCTCTCTCATCCTTCTTTGTTTCTTTAACCTTTAAGGCCAGGTGCGGTGGCTCATGCCTGTAATCCCAGCACTTTGGGAGGCCAAGGCAGGTGGATCACCCGAGGTCAGGAGTTCAAGACCAGCCTGACCAACATGGTGAAACCCCATCTCTACTAAAAATACAAAAATTAACCAGGCATGGTGGCACATGTCTGTAATCCCAGCTACTTGGGAGGCTGAGGCAGGAGAATCACTTGAACCCGGGAGGCGGAGGTTGCAGTGAGCTGAGATCACGCCATTGCGCTTAAGCCTTGGCGACAAAGTGAGACTCTGTCATACACACACACACAAAAACAAATAAAAAAAACTGTTTTTTTGTTATTCTTACATATTTTCTTTTCTGGAACAGCCTTTTTGTCAAGCTCTATTGCAAATCCTGTAGGAGATCATATTTGAAATTAAATTTGTGCATTAATTGAAGGAAATTGGCTTCTTTACAATATTGCATTCTGTCATCCAGGAATGCATATATCTTTTCATTTATTCTGGCCTTTTATGCCCTCTAGGAAAGTTTTCTGTTGTTTTTCTTTTTTGGTTTTTTGGGTTTTTTGAGATGGAGTTTTGCTGTTATTGCCCAGGCTGGAGTGCAGTGGCTGGATCTCTGCTCACTGCAACCTCTGCCTCCCAGGTCCAAGCGATTCCCCTGCCTCAGCCTCCCTAGTAGGTGGGACTACAGGTGCCCACCACCATGCCCGGCTAATTTTTTGTATTTTCAGTAGAGATGGGGTTCTACTACGTTGGCCAGGCTGGTCTCAAACTCCTGACCTCAGGTGATCCTCCTGCTTCGGCCTCCCAAAGTGCTGGGATTACAGGTGTGAGCCACCGCATCTGGCCGGAAAGTTTTATAATTTTCTTAAATAGGTTATGCACACTTTCTTCTTAGGGTGACTATATTTGGAGTTTTTGTGCTGATATGTGTAGGATCTTTTTGCTATGATATTTTATAACTGGTTACAACTGATGTATAGGATAGGTTTTCATTTTTGGTGTTAATCTTGTCATGATAACCCTATTAAACTCTCCTTATTTTATTTATTTATTTATTTATTTATTGAAACAGGGTCTTGCTCTTATTGCCCAGGCTGGAGTGCAGCAGTGTGATCTCGGCTCACTGCAATCTCTGCCTCCCGGGTTCAAGCAATTCTCCTGCCTCAGCCTCTCGAGTAGCTGAGATTACAGGCGCCCACGACCATGCCTGGCTAATTTTTGTATTTTTAGTAGAGACGGGGTTTCACTATGTTGGCCAGGCTGGCCTCGAACTCCTGACCTCAGGTGATCTGCCTGCTTTGGCTTCCCAAGGTGCTAGGATTAGAGGTGTGAGCCACCATGCCTGGCCCATTAAACTCTCTTTATATTTAATAGTTTATTTATATGCTATTTTCTATCATGCTTAATTCTATATAACAAGGTAGCCATGCTGCCATTTTAAATTTTAAATGGCAACATGATATTTCATCACATGAAGACAACCAAATTTATATACCAGTTTCTTATTGTTGGGCGTATATACACTTTTTTTTTTTTTGAGACGGAGTCTCACTCTGTCGCCCAGGCTGGAGTGCAGTGGTGCAATCTCGGCTCACCGCAAGCTCCGCCTCCTGGGTTCACGCCATTCTCCTGCCTCAGCCTCCCAAGTAGCTGGGACTACAGGTGCCCGCCACCACGCCTGGCTAATTTTTTTGTATTTTTAGTAGAGACAGGGTTTCACTCTGTTAGCCAGGATGGTCTCGATCTCCTGACCTCGTGATCCACCTGCCTCGGCCTCCCAAAGTGCTGGGATTACAGGCGTGAGCCACCATGCCCAGCCAGGTGTATATATATATTTTTAACGTAATTTGGGGAATGAACAAAAGCAGTGTAATAATCATTCTTATAGCTAAGTATTTCCCCACAGCAGCAATCGTTGCTTTAAAGTAAATCAGAGGTTGGCAAATTACAGACCCCACGAGCCAAATCTAGGAGCTTGTTATTGTAAATAAAGTTTTACTGGAACACAGCCACACCCATTTGTTCACATCTTATCTGTGGCTGTTTTCACACTACAGTGGCAGAGCTGAAAAGCTGCCACAGAGGCCAAATGGACTGCAAAGCTTAGAATATTTACTGTCTGCCCTTTACAGAAAAAATTTGCCAACCCAGACGGTAAATTCAGGCAAGTGGAAACTGTTTTATGAAAAGGATGCAAAGGCTGGGCGCGGTGGCTCATGCCTGTAATCCCAGCACTTTGGGAAGTGGAGGCAGGTGGATCACCTGAGGTCAGGAGTTTGAGACCAGCCTGACCAACGTGGTGAAACCCCGTCTCTACTAAAAATACAAAAATTAGCCAGGCGTGATAGCGCATGCCTGTAATCCCAGCCTCTCGGGAGGCTGAGGCAGGAGAATCCCTTGAACCCAAGAGGCGGAGGTTGCAGTGAGCTGAGATCGTGCCATTGCACTCCAGCCTGGGCAACAGAGTGAGACTCTGTCTCAAAAAAAAAAAAAAAGAAAAGGATGCAAAATATTAAAACTGCCTAATACTAATCTGCCAAATTCCTCTGCAGGAATCCCATCAGGATTGCGTCAGATTCCTGCTACCCTTTTGATACTGGTGTTGCTGAGTTTTCAGATCCTTTAAATTTGAGAGGCTAAAATTAGAACCCCTCTTTTGAATTATAATACAGTTTAACTTCTTAAAGTACATTTTTTGGTCACTAAGAGGGCGTTCTTCATGAATTGCCTGTCGACATTCTCCACCCTGGCTATGTTTACTTCTATTGAGTATTTTTTAAGAACCAGAAATATAACTTTTTGACATACATTAAATTTTTTCCAGCTTGTTATTTATTTTTAACTTTGTTCATGATACCAAATTTAAAAATTTTTATAGCCAATTCATCATTCTTTTCCTTTATGGCTTCAGCCTTTGGTGTAATGCTTATAAATGCTTTCCCGCCCAAGATTGTGAAACTGTTCTGTTTTATTTTTGTGTATTTGATTTTTAATTCGTAGAATTGACTGATGTCTAGAGTGAGGTAGGGATCCAGTTTGCCTTTTTCCTGTCAGTTCCTCTTGCCCTCCCTCACCTGGCTGGAACCAGCAGCTTCTTGCTAGGCTATGCTTACGCACGCAGTCCCCTGATGGCAAAGGAAGTGAGGTTTGCCCGGTGCAGTGGCTCAGGCCTGGAATCCCAGCACTTTGAGAGGCCGAGGTGGGCAGATCACTTGAGGCCAGGAGTTCAAGACCAGCTTGGCCAACATGGCGAAACCCCATCTTTACTGAAAAAAAAAGAAAAAAATTAGCCTGGCATGATGGGGCATGCCTGTAATCCCAGCTACTTGGGAGGCTGAGGCACAAGAATCACTTGAACCCAGAAGGCAGAGGTTGCAGCCAGCAGAGATTGTGCCACTGCACTCCAGGCTGGGCAACAGAGCAAGACCCTATCTAAAAAAGAAAAGAAGAAAAGAAATGGGGTTTGCTGGGAACCCAGACCTGAGCCTGAGCCCAAATTGGCTCTTTTGCTCATATTCAGAAGGGGCTTTGCCAAACCCTTGTCTTCCTGGAAGTTTTTAAAATGATGATAACCTGTGCCTCTCTCTAGAACTTGCTGGGGAGGAGGCCTACAGCCTGAACATCTAAGCCCACCCTCGCTTCATTTCATCCATCCTGAAACAAGCATTTCTAAAACCACTCATGACAATGGCACTTATAAGTTCTAAAAATACTTTTCCTGACAAACAGCACTGTGATTCACTGTGCTGGTGGAGGTGTGGGTGGGGTGCCATGCTCCCACTGGTGTGGTGGCAGGAGGGAGTTTCAGAGCCCAGGGAAGCAGCCTTTCTACTTATATCTGGCCCCAATATATTTTTCTATGTTTCAACACCCCCCCCACCCTTCTAAAGAGAAAAAAAAATCTACTTATCCCAAGCCTCAGAGCTTCTGTAAGATCCTCGATTTGTGTCTTTGGGAAATAACTCAACTCTGATTAAGCCAAAGGTGGCGGGGATGGAAGCAGTGCAGATATGGAAGCCCCTTTTGTTCGTTGCCTCAGCCTGGTCTGCCCTGGACCGTGTGTCTTCTACCTCCTACCCCTGACCATCCCTACCCTAGAGACGCTAAGCTGAGCTGGCCAGCAAGTGCTACTTCCCACGGGCCACCTCCTGCCTAACCCAACCCTGACGCCCAAGTCCACATGTATCTTTAGAACCTACTCACCAAGTTAGAGCTTGACAAAACCTTGGAGAGGCTCCTTACATCCCGTCTTTTTAAAGCTGAGCAGGAGGGAAAAATTTGGGTTTTATGAACCTGTAGGACATTAACCACCTTCGTATATACCTTTCCAGTCTCATTTCAGCATCCTTTCTTTCCCTGATTACATAGACTTTGATCCCTCCCCTTCTCCTTTGGATGAGTTATCCCTACCTGCTGCTTCCCTCATTAATGAGTCTAGTGCAGTGCATTTTTGAAACAGTAACTGTGGGAAACACACAAACACAATCACATGAGGGCAGATGTTCTCCGAGAAAGCACGGTCGAAACCAGTGGGGACTCTGGGTTAGCAGGGCCTATGGTGCTTCATGTGTCAGAGGCTGAACTGGGATATCAGTGGAGATTCTAAACTCACCATCCAGTTTATAAACCTCTGAGGGCCCAAGCTCCTGCTGCAGATGGTGCAAGAATAAAGAGTAGATCACTTTTACTAAACAAAGACCTAGAGAGTTGACTTGGTCTCCAACTTTTTATTTTGAAAATTTTCAACCTTCAGAAAAGAGCAGAACAATGAATCCACATATATCCTTTGCTTGGATGACAGCTGTTAACATGCTGCTAAACTGAGTTTCTCTGCCCCTGTGTTTGTTGGTGGGGTGCATGTGCATACATACTACTTTTTTTCTGGACCATTTGAAAGTTAGTTGCGGACATGACACTTCATCCTTAAATACTTGGCCATTCCTAAGAAGGACACTCTCCTATGTGACCACAATATAGTTATGACTTGCAGGAAACTTAACATTGGCACAATTTGTTACCTATTGTAAAATCTACATTCAAATTTTCCCAATTTTATATATATATATATATATATATATATATATATATATATATATATATTTTTTTTTTTTTTTTTTTTTTTTTGACACGGAGTCTTGCTCTGTCACCCAGGCTGGAGTGCAATGGCGTGATCTCCGCTCACCGCAACCTCCGCCTCCTGGGTTCAAACGATTCTCCTGCCTCAGCCTCCCGAGTAGCTGGGATTACAGGTGCATGCCACCACTCCCGGCTAATTTTTTTTTTGTATTTTTAGTAGAGACTGGGTTTTACCATGTTGGCCAGGCTGGTCTTGAACTCCTGACCTCGTGATCCACCCACCTCGGCCTCCCAAAGTGCTGGGATTACAGGTGTGAGCCACCGCACCCAGCCATCCCAATAATATTTTTATAGCTTTTATTTTTATCTCAAATCTAATACAGGATCACACAGTAGTTTAGTTGCCATGTTTCTTTAGTTTCCTTTAATCTAGAAGAGTTCCTTGGCTTTTTTTTTCTTTTCTTTCTTTCTATTTTTTTCTTTTTTTTTACTCCTAATGACATTGACCTTTTTAAAAACTTCAGGCCACTTGCTTCGAAGAATGCCCCTCAATTTAGATTTGCCTTTATTGATTTTCTGGTCCTTTGGGGTACTGCAACTTAAATTTAAATTAAAAATAAAATGGTGTGGCGAGGAGGGGGCCAGGAGGGGAGTTCTACTGTGTTTATTTTTCAAGTCTAAAACACATTTAAAATGCATATTGTTGGCACCCACTCAGTGGGCCTCAGTTTTCCCAGCTGAAACATGATCTAAACACCCCTTGCAGCTTCTGTCCCTTCTGGCATTTGGGGAAAAATAAATGCCTAATTGTGTGTGTGCGGCCGAGCGTCCACCCTTGGCATCTCTCAAATTGTGGGGAGGCAGCCGGCCTTGGTACTTTCTGGCTCCAGGAACACGCCATGGGCCATTGAACGTCTGTGCGATGGGTAACGTCTGTGCGATGAACACTGTACACTGGGTACAGTGTTAGGAGGTGTGGGCTCTTATACATGACCAGGCCACATCTCCATCCTCTTTGGGCTGAGATTAGGACATTGGAGTAGGTGTATTTGTCTCCTGAGAGGGGCAATCTCAAGAGAAAACTAGAAAAGACCCCCCCCACGTCTTTGGGGGGATTATCTGAGATAATGTGGGGAAGAAATCCAAGCCCCTAAGATACACTGGACGGTGCTTCTCCGGGTACCTGTGCCCGAGGGAGATACCAGCCACTTGCTGGGACACCAGGGGGCATCTTCCTGGAGCAGCAGATTGCCTGGAAGAATTGGAGAAAACATTGTCCAACATTAAAACAAACATGGAACATAATAAACATATTTTGAAGATAAGAAAGAAGCCTGTAATCCCAGCACTTTGAGAGGCCCAGGCTGGAGGATCCCTTGAGGCTAGGAGTTCAAGACCAGCTTGGACAGCAAAGTGAGACCCCCATATCTATTAATACAAAAAAGACAGGCGGGTGCCGTGGCTCTCGCCTGTAATCCCAGTACTTTGGGAGGCCAAGGCGGGCGGATCACGAGGTCAGGAGATCGAGACCATCCTGGCTAACACGGTGAAACCCCGTCTCCACTAAAAATACAAAAAATTAGCCGGGCGTGGTGGTGGGCGCCTGTAGTCCCAGCTACTCGGGAGGCTGAGGCAGGAGAATGGCGTGAACCCGGGAGGTGGAGCTTGCAATGAGCCGAGATTGTGCCACTGCACTCCAACCTGGGCCACAGAGCGTGAGACTCCGTCTCAAACAAAACAAAACAAAACAAGACAAAAATTAGCTGGGCTTGGTGGCAAGCACCTGTGTGTCCCAGCTACTTGGGAGGCTGAGGCAGGAGGATTGCTTAAGCCCAGGAGATTGAGGCTACAGTGAGCCGTTTGTGCGACAGCACTCCAGCCTGGGCAACAGAGCAAGATCTCATCTCAAAAAATAAAGTAAAATAAAGATAATGAGAAAGACTTTTATCAATTTTATTTTACTTTATTTTATTTATTTATTTTTTTGAGATGGAGTTTCACTCATTGCCCAGGCTGGAGTGCAATAGTACGATCTTGGCTCACTGCAACCTCCGCCTCCCGGGTTCAAGCGATTCTCCTGTGTCAGCCTCCCAAGTAGCTGGGATTACACACGCGCACCCCCATGCCCAGCAAATTTTTGTATTTTTAATAGAGACGGGGTTTCACCATGTTGGCCAGGCTGGTCTCGAACTCCTGACCTCAGGTGATCTGCCCACCTCCACCTCCCAAATTGCTGGGATTACAGGCACAAGCCACCGCGCCCAACTGCTGTATTTTATTTTTGAGACAGGATCTCACTCTAGCACCCGGGTTGGAGTGCAGTGGCGCGATCTCAGCTCACTGCAACCTCCACCTCCCAGGCTCAAGCAATCCTCCTGCCTCAGCCTCTTGAGTAGCTGGGACTACAGGCATGCACCCAGCTAATTTTTGGATTTTTGGAGAGACAGGGTCTCACTATGTTACCCTGGTTGGTCTTGAGCTCCCGGGCTGAAGCGATCCACCTGTCTCGGCCTCCCAAAATGCTAGGATTACAGGTGTAAGCCACCGCGCCCTGCGGGAAAGACTTTTTAAATTGTTTTGCTTTAGAGGCTGCTCTTTCGAGTCCCACTTCTACTGTAGACCCATGTCCATCTTCTGCTGTGGGGCCGCTTTATGTAAGGTATTACTGTTATTGCTATTTTGTTTTCCTTTTCTTTTTTTTAAGAAACAAAGTCTTGCTCTGTTACTCAGGCTGGAGTGCAGTCACTGCAGCCTCAACCTCCCAGGCTCAAGCAATCCTCCCACCTCAGCCTCCTCAGTAGCTGGGACCACAGGCTCATACCACCACATCCAGCTAATTTTTTTTTTTTTTTTTTTGGCAGAGACCGGGTCTAGCTATGTTGCCCAGGATGGTCTCAAACTCCTGGCCTCAAGCAAGTCTCCCAGCTGGGCCTCCCAAGGCACTGGGATTACAGTCATGAGCAACCTCTCCTAGCCCTGTTTTCTTGTAATAAAGTAAATGCAGTGTTCATTTTAGTAACAAAACAGGTCTTCACTGGGAGGGAGAAATGAGGAAATTTGACCCCGCGTGGCTGAGGCCTGGAATGAGCTCCATGGGCAGGCTCCAGGAATGATGTAATTTTGCCTCCTCTCAAGGCTGGCCTCAAGGAGGCCTGATTCCAGCCCTCTTTGTCTGGGGCTGCCCTGAACCTGTAAGAATCCTTCTGACCAGATCCTCCAGACACTGCAAATTCTCACCCAGGTTGCTCAGAATCCTGGAAAGAGCTCAGGTTTGAGTCAAACGGGCTGAGTGTGGGTTCTGCTTGACCACTTTCTGTGTGTCATTTGGCAAGTCGCTTCACCTCTCTGAGCCTTTTTCATTTCTGCCTATCTAAAATCAGAGTCGTCAGCCTGATTTTCAGTGTTGTGGTGAGAATGCAATGGATTAATGTTTCTAAAGGTTCCTGAGGAGACAGGTCCCCCAGTCAGTAGTACCTATGCCTGCATTCTCTGTACCACTCAGAACCCTCAGGGGAATCATTCAGGACACAGGGGACAGAATTCCCTCCCCTTCCCATTCCCAAAGTCACCAGCCTGCCTCCACCTGCACCCACACTTTCAGCTTGCTGCTGGGATGGTGAGTGGCATGACCCTGCTCTGACACAGGCCATGCCCTCCAATCCCAGCTCCTCACCCGCACACCGCCTGAACACTGGATCCCAGCCCCTCCTGCCAACTCAAGCACTCGCCTTCACAAACAGCCCCTCACCCACAGCACCCGCACCACGCCCCTGCTGGGTCCTTTCCATTCGCTTCTGGAGCTGACATAATAATGCCCTTCCCATGGGCAGGGAAGCACCCGCTTGACCACACATCCTGGCTTTCTTTCCTTTGGTCTATTTCCTCCAAAGACTGGTCTCAACTCCCTTTCTTGCCTCCCTTTCTCTCTGTTGCCACTCCCAATGATGTCTTGGCCCCTCTGTTCTGCTGAAACACTTCTCACAGTCACCAGGGACTTCTTTTTGAGACAGGGGTCTCACTCTGTCACCCAGGCTGGAGTGCAGTGGTGCAGTCCTGACTCACTGCAGCCTCCAACACCTGGGTTCAAGCAATCCTCCCACCTCAGTCTCCCAGGTAGCTGGGACCACAGGCATCTGCCATCATCCCCAGCTATTTTTATTTTTTGTAGAGATGGGGGTCTTGTTCTGTTCCCCAGGCTGGAGTGCAGTAGTGCAGTCCTAGTTTGCTGCAGCCTCAAACTCCTGGCCTCAAGCAATCCTCCAATCTCAGACCCCCAAAGTGCTGGTATGGCAGGCATGAGCCACCTTGCCTGGCCACCAGGAACTTCTCACTGGCCAAATCCAAGCATCAGTTCTCTAGTCACATTTTTACATAGTGATGGTGTGTGGTGAATAGATCAGGGTAATTAGCATATCCACCATCTCCGGCATTTATCATTTCTTCATTTTGGGAACACTCGATAGTCTCCTAGCTACTGAAAACTCTGTATTATTGTTAATGATAGTCATCTTACAGTGATGTAGAACAATGGAACTTATCCCTCCTCTAGAACTGTAACTCTGTACTTTTAACAAACGTCTCCCTACTCTCCTTCCCCTGCCATTCTCAGCCTCTAGTGTCCTCTGCTCCATTCACATTTTACTGGAACCCTGGGCAGGGCCTGGCACAGCCAACCTCTCCCTTCTCAGATCGTCCTTTTAGCTCAAGCCTTCCTCCTACCTCTCAGGCTGCTTTTCTCCCCGCACACCACCCCCCCGCCACCGGCTTTATTATTATTATTATTATTATTATTATTATTATTATTATTGAGACAGAGTCTCCCTCTGTCACCCAGGTTGGAGTGCAGTGGCGTGATCTCAGCTCACTGCAACCTCCGCCTCCGGGGTTCAAGCGATTCTCCTGCCTCAGCCTCCCAAGTAGCTGGGATTATAGGACGGCGCCATCACACCCGGCTAATTTGCATATTTTTGGTAGAGATGGGGTTTCACCATGTTGCCCAGGCTGGTCTCGATCTCCTGGCCTCAAGTGATCTGTCCACCTCAGCCTTGCCCGCCCTCCTCCTGGGTCCCTTTAAATGGCGCTGGGTCTCAGGCCTCGTCCTCACCCCTATGCTTCCTGCCTGCCCACTCCCCAGGGGAGCTGGTTGGTCCCAGAACTCTAAAAGCACCATTACCCTGAGGGCTCCCAAGATAGTATTTTCCCCTCCGACATTGCCTTCGGCTCCAGTCTCTTCTGTCAAACCTGTGGCGCACCCTCTGCATTTCCACCATGTTCCAGGCTACACCCTTTGATCTGATCCAGCTCCGTCCCCTCAGCCCCAAGAATGTTTCCCCAGGCTCCCCATCTCAGTAAATGGCACCACCTCCCCTACCTGGTCACTCTGACCAAGGATCAAGTCATCCTTAATTTCTTTCCTCCTTCCACATCCAACCCATCATCACAGCCTAATGGTTTTACCTCCAAACTATGTCCCGAGCCATCCACTTCCCTCCACCTTGGAGGTTACACCCCAGTCCCAGCAGAGCCGCACCCTGTACCTGTGCCCCGATGGCCTGCATTCTCTCTTGTTTTTTGTGGTCCATATGACACCGGAGTGTTCTTTAAAACTTGTAACTCCTAGTGGCTGGGCATGGTGGCTCACACCTATAATCCCAGCACTTTTGGAGGCTGAGGCAGGTGGATCACCTGAGGTCAGGAGTTCGAGACCAGCTTGGCCAACATGGTGAAACCCCGTCTCTACTAAGAATACAAAAATTAGCTGGCCATGGTGGCAGGCGCCTGTAATCCCAGCTACTCAGGAGGCTGAGGCAGAAGAATCACTTAAACCCGGGAGGCGGAGGTTGCAGTGAGCCGAGATGGCGCCACTACACTCCAGCCTGGGCAACAGAGCGAGACTCCATCTCAAAAAAAAAAAAAAAAAAAAAAATTGTAAGTCCCATCCTCCTCTCCCTTGCATAAGAGCCTCCAGTGACAAAATCCAAAACCCTGACTTCCCACTGTGGCCTCGAAGGTTTCACTTTTGCCTGAATCTTTGACCTTGCCCCTCCCAGATTCCCGGTGACTCTCACTGTTCAGCCACCCTGACCTGTTTTCTGTTCCTCAAACTGCCCAAGCGAGTTCTGCACAGGGCCTTTGCCTGGCTTCCCCTTCACCTAGAACCCTTGTCCCCCAAATCTTTGCACAGCTGCCCTTGTGCCCTTCAGGTTTCAGCACAAATGTCACCTCCTCAGAGAAGCCTTCCCCCACCACCCTCTCAAGAAACTCCCTCCCCACCCTGCCCCCATCACTGCCAGAGCACCCTGCTTATTTCCTTGAGTATGCACCACTGTTAGCTGCATGTTTTTTTAATGGCTGTGTAATAGTGATACATGTTTTTGGGATACATGTGATATTTCGATAACTGCATATGTTGTGTAATGATCAAATCAGGGTAACTGGGATATCCATTACCTCAAACCTTTGTCTTTGTGTTGGGAACATTACAATTCTTCTAGCTTTTTGAAAGATACAAGAAATTATTAACTATAATTTCCCTGCTGTACTAGCAAATACTAGAACTTATTTCTTCTCTCCAACTGTATCTTGTTTGGCACAGTCTTGATCATCTATGTGTGTCCTGTCATCCCCCACTGGCCTGTAAGCTCCGTGGGTCCAGGGCTTTGCCAGTGTCATTCACTGCTGCACAGTGCCTGGCATAGAGAGGCTGTTGGTGCAGATTTGTTGCACAAGCAGATGGATGAATCTCAGATGTGGAATGTTGACTCTTTGTCAGGGAGGGATGGGCTCCCACCTAGGAGTCTCCGAGGACCAGCTCAAAGGCTGTAAAAATCATGCCCTGCCTCAGTGCTCTGGGGGATTAGAAAGGGGGTGCCTGGATTCTCTGAGACTCTGCAGCTGGGCTCTCTCGCTTTCCTGTGCGTGTCAATCACTGATCTTAAGAAAATGCAGATTCTGGTTCACAGGCCTGGGTCTGCGTTCCTAGCCTGCTCATCAGCAATGGTGGTGCTGCTGACCTCAGATCTCTCTAGCAGCGCTTTTGTAACTTGCAGGTCCTGTGCCATCTTTCCCCCTACATGCCATGGGACCACGCGGAAAGAGCCAGAGGGGTCCCTTCATTGCCTCCTCTGCCCCTCCTCCCTCCATCCAGCAGCAAGTGTTATTTGTAGCAGTCACTGTCACCTCCGCATGTGGTGAGGCCTGCTAGGTTTCTGTCTCCACATTTCTGTTACTGTGACAGACAAGACGGATTCTCTGCCAGGAACTGTGCTCAGCCACTTGCTTCTGGCATTGCTGTTTCCTCTCTGTGCACCTCTTATTCAGGCAGACTCCTGGGGGATGTTGCCCCTGCTGGAAGTCAGGCCCAGTTCATTGCCCTAGTGTGGGATGGGGCAGCTGACCCCGCGGGGAACTGGGAGGCATTACCGAGAGGTTTCCAAGCTTTGGTTTCAGGAGTACAGGTATAGGCCTACCTGACTGGCCCTGGGGGCAAAATGTTCATTTAAACTTGGGGAGAGGCTGGGCACGGTGGCTCACGCCTGTAATTCCAACACTTTGGGAGGCCAAGGTGGATGGATTGCTTGAGCCCAGGAGTTGGAGACCAGCCTAAGCAACATAGAGAGACCCCATATCTACAAAAAAATTAAAAAGTAGCCAGGCATGGTGGCGTGTGCCTGTAGTCCCAGCTACTCAGGAGGCTGAGGTGGGAGGATCACTTGAGCCTAGGAGGTTGAGGCTGCAGTGAGCTATTATATTATCACACGACTGCACTCCAGCCTGTACCATAGAGAGAGACCCTACCTCAAAAAAAAAAAAAAAAAAAAAAAAACAAACCTGGGGAGAGTTTGGGACCTTTGGAGTCCAAGAGTTCTGAGTTTGAATCCTGATGCTGTCACATACTACTTGGGCCACGCCGAACAAGGAACTTAGCCTCCCTGAGCCTCACTTTCTTCACTTGCTAGATGGAGGTTGTAACTCGTGTCTTCCTCCCAGGGTCGTTGTCAAAATGAAACATGAAAGTGCATGGAAGTAGGAGGTCAAGGCAGGTGAATTACATGAGGTCAGGAGTTCGAGACCAGCCTGGCCAACATGGTGAAATGCTGTCTCTGCTAAAAATACAAAAATTAGCTGGGCGTGGTGGTGCATGCCTGTAGTCCCAACTACTAGGGAGGCTGAGGCAGGAGAATCACTTGAGCTGAGATCGCACCACTGCACTCCAGCCTGGGCACAAGACTCGTCTCAAAAAAAAAAAAAAAAAAAAAGAAAGAAAAGAAAAGAAAGTGCATGGAAGGCTCTCCGCACTGTGGAAAATACTGGCATTTCTCAACTCACAATGCATAGATTGTGAGACATATCATGGTCCATTGAATATCTTTTGACTCAGGGGTGGTGACCAGGTGCTGATAGCAAGGCCTGGGGCCCAGTCCTCCTCCCACAACCGCATCCCCCCCAGCCCCACCCACAGCCACCTGCTGCTCTAGCACTAGCTAGAAAAGTCAGCCCCTGGGCATTCTCAAGAATTGAGCCCACCCCTTTGTCAGACCATTCTCCCAGGGCAGAGACTGGCCTGATCACATGAAAACCACACCTGCCGAGCCAGAGGGCAAATGCTCCAACATTGTATTAGAGAGATTAAACAGCTGTTCTCAACCAGATCATTGCTACATTCCATTTCCTGACCAGGAAAATGAAAATGGCTGTCATAGAAGACAGAGCATAAAGTCTGATTCTTTTCTTTTTGAGATGGAGTCTCGTTCTGTCACCCAGGCTGGAGTGCAGTGGTGCGATCTCAGCTCACTGCAACCTCCGCCTCCTGGGTTCAAGCGATTCTCCTGCCTCAGCCTCCCGAGTAGCTGGGACTACAGGTATGTGCCACCACGCCCAACTAATTTTTGTATTTTTAATAGAGATGGAGTTTCACCATGTTGGCCAGGTTGTTCTCGAACCCATGACCTCAAGCAATCTGCCCACCTTAGCCTCCCAAAGCACTGGGATTACAGGCATGAGCCACTGTGCCTTGCCTAAGTCTGATTCTTAAGATGGAAACTCAGTCAGGCGGCCATGGCTCATGCCTGTAATCCCAGCACTTTGGGAGGCCGAGGCAGGTGGATCGCTTGAGGTCAGGACTTCAAGACCATCCTGGCCAACATGGTGAAACCCCGTCTCTACTAAAAATACAAAAATTAATCAGGCCCGGTGGTTCCTGCCTGTAGTCCCAGCTACTCGGGTGGCTGAGGCAGGAAAATCGCTTGAACCCAGGAGGCAGAGGTTTCAGTGAGCCAAGATTGTACCACTGCACTCCAGCCTGGGCAACAGAACAAGACTCCTTCTCAAAAAAAAAGATGGAAACTGTCTGTGGGCTCTAGGGAGGCAGTGGAGGTGCCAGGTGAACTGACGATTAGCACCACAGTGGGAACAGGCAGGAAGAGGACTGGTCTCCAGTCTCTGGTCTCCTGTCTGAACAAGTCTGTAGGGGAGGAAAAACTTCTCCTCTACCCTTTTATGTTATGTCTGCAGTCTGCAAATAAAATTGAGCAAAGACAGATTAATAGAAAAAAGGCATACGAATTTTATTGTTGTTTTTAATTTTACATGCATGAAAAGCCAAAGAGATGGTCAGACCCAGGGTTTATATACAATTTTGACAAAGGAAGATAAGTTGTGGGCAAGTAACTAAACAAGGAAGAGGGGGATTTGGGCTCCTAAGGGCAGTATATTCTGGGAAGGTAGCTAGGAAATGTGTGTTAGATTGGGGGTGGTGGTTTAGATGTGTTATACAGATACATAACCTCCCCATTGGATTTATTCTCCTTTTCATGGGACGGGAGAGGGGGGCACATTTACAAATGGAAATTTATGCCCTACTTTCAGGCACCTAAGGGGAGGGCAGAGAGCTCATCCTGTGTCTGCTGTTTCTCAGTTGCCTTCAGCTCAAAATAATCCTTATGCCAAAGTGGCGTATTGCAGGGTGGCATATTTGGATCCCCTTCAAGTTCCTGCCTCAGTCCCTTCCCCAGTCCTCTGCCTTGTACACATGGGTACCTCACTGTACCTACTCAAACTAGGTCTCCTTTGACCACAGGGAGTGGGTCTGCTCTGATAATGTGTTGATAATTGGTTGACTTTACAACCAATATTTCAAAACAACTGCCTTATCGAGCCCAGCCTGGGGTTTCTGTCTTGTGCTGTGACTTGCAACATTCTTGGTCAGACCCCTTCTCCTCAAGGGAAACTTTAATCTAGGCTGAAGGGGCCTCTGAGATGGGTACCAGGCAGGAGGCATGTCAGGACCCTTACCTGCTGCAGTGAATGTCAGCTTTGCCACCTTCAGGGCTGACGCTCCCAAGGCAGCTGCACTCACCCTCCGCTGAGAGTGCCATCCTGGGCTTACAGGCAGAGGCTCAGCTCTGACATGTGATATCGGAGAAAGTCAGTCATCTTCAGCATCTTCAGGTCATGTTAACCCTATTCCTTTAGATTTTCCATTATCTATCCTAATACCAAGTTCCGTGTCAGAAAGCGCTGTTTGCTCTTACCTCCTTGCAAATACGTCTTTACTGTTGTACATTTTGTTTTTATTCTCACGGCTCATTGAATATTGCTTCAATTTCATTAGAATTGCTACAGGAAACCTTACAGCTGATTTGTCATCCTGTGTACTCTTTGATCCAATATATTCTTTTTTTGAGACAGGGTCTCACTGTCACCCAGGCTGGAGTGCAGTGGCACAATCTTGGCCCAGCCTTCTAGGCTCAAGCAATCCTCCCACCTCAGCCTCCCAGGTAGCTGGGACTACACACATGCGGCACCACTCTCAGTTAACGTTTGTATTTTTTGTAGAGACGGGCTTTCACCATGTTGCCCAGGCTTGTCTCGAACTCCTGAGCTCAAGCGATCCGCCCCCCTCAGCCTCCCAAAGTGCTGGAATTACAGGCGTGGGCCACCCTGCTGGCCCCTAGTACATTCTTTTTAGGATTTTGTACCAGAAAAGAAGTCCTTCCTGATGAAATGATACCTTTTTACATCAGATAACAAGAGTTACAGCATAACTATCCCCTTGCTGTCCTTTTTGGTTTTGGTAAGTCAGAAAACTTAGAGCTAATGAGACTGGTGAATCAATAAAATCTGCCTTTCCATTTAATCATTTACCTCCTTTTTCTCTATGGTTTATTTTTATTTTTACTACTCTAGCTATGAATGTGTCTTTTATTGTAAATAATTTCATAGCTGTCAGGAAGAGATAAAAAGGAATCTTGATTTACTAAGGAGAGACTTATTAAAGGATTATTATTGCCTGGGGGTGGTGGGGAGGGGACTATTCCAATGGAAGCGGGAGCATTGCAGTGGGAGAGAGCACTGACCAGAAGATCCTCCTGCACCTCCAAAGTTAAGCCGAAAGGGTTGTTCTTTTCTAGGCAAGAGTAAACAAGGCTTGAAAGAACTGGTGCGGGGAGGTAGGTTGAAAAGGTGGCCTGGTCCTGGGGGCCTGTCTTAATGCAGGCCAACCTGTCCTCCGGAGGGCTGTAAGGAGGGATAGTGAGTTGCTCAGGTGAGGGTGGCCAAAGTTCACAGAACTGGGGGAAAGAGAGAAACTAGAGTTTAGTTAACAAGCATCGTGTTTTAGGTAGAGAATGGGAATTTGGAGGGCCTTCCTCACAGGTTCTCGACTGTGTTCTCCTGGGGGACGAGGACCAGCTTCATGGCTTGCTGTGCCCTGCGCTGGGCCTGACCAAGTTACTTGGTCCCTGTTTGTTCACTGACGTTGACTGAGGGCCTTTCCAGAGTCAGGAGCTGACCTCTCACAGAGATTCCAAGAACTAGCAGGTCACACTCTCACCTCTCCCCAGGGGTCCCCAGTTCCGGCCATGCCCTGTGTCCTCTCCTTCTCCTCAAAGGGGTCCCCAGGCCTAACCTGGGGAAGCACTATCCATTCCCTCTCTCACCCCACCCCAGTCCCCCCTGGAACTGGCTTCCTGCCTGCTTCTTCCCCTTTCTCCGGGGTGGGGCGGGACAAGGTGGAGGGAGAGTGGGAAGGAGAGGAGGAGTCACCCAGCTGCCTCCTAGGACTGATAAGAGACCCAGCGGGAGCTTTGAAGGCTGTTACAGCCTGGGGGTGGGAGCAGGCCTGACCCCCACCACCCTCACCCCCAGCCCCGCAGGTGGCCACACCCCTCCTGCTGCCCTACCCTCTGTCTCTCAACTTGGCCCTTTCTGTGCCTCTGTGCTCTCTCTCTTTGTGTGTGTCTCTGTCTGCATGTGTGCCTCCCTCTCCGTCCCTGACTATCCTCCCTTCCTCTCTCTCCTTTTCCCCTCCCCGCTCTGTCTCTTCTCTCTATCTGCACCCCATCTCTCTCTGTCCTGAAGTCTGCATTCTCAACACAGGGAACCTTCCAGTCTGACCCAGGTCTCAGCAGGAGCCAGACAAAAGGCCTTGAGGGAAGGGACAGATGGAGTGTCCCCATGCTAATCTCCTTTAACCACCCCCAGCAGACCAACCCTGCCAAGTAGGTACTGTGGTACCCATTTCGCTGATGAGGAAGTTGAGGCTCAGACAGCAGTTAAGACGTGTGTCCAAGGCCTTGGGGCCACAGTGTGCAGGGCCAGGATTTTTAGCTGCATCTGATCCAGTTGCCTCAGAATGCGGGCTGAGTCCACCTTTCCTGAGGCTCCTCAGGTGTCCCAGGCCTCTCCTCACTCCCTCCACCCCATCCCTGGAGGCAGGACCAGAGGACTCCTTTGAGGAGCTGCATAGCTTGGGAGCTGCGCATCAGGAGCATCTGCAGTGCTGCAGGACCATCTTCTACCCAGAGGCATGAAGCAAAGTATCATGGGAGCCCCGCAGGGCATTGCGGGGAGGCAAGATTCTCCCAGCCCCTTCCTGCTGCTTTTGGAGGCCTGAAGATGGCTCTGACCTGGATATAGGGGGTCCTAAAATGGAAGCCCTTTGGTTGAAGAGGCAGGTGGCACTGAGCCTGCCAGCTGGGGCTGTGCCAGGGGTGTTTGGAGGTGCCTCTCAGAATGGGCCTTCTCTGCACGGGAGCCTGGGAGATGCATCAAGGAAAGATGTACCAGCTTCCTGGCTGTGGGGCTTCTGGGGGTCTTCAAAATGCTCATGTGCACCTCTGGGCCTCCCAGCACAGAGGTGGAGGCAGTTTGCCAATGTTCTTTCCTCTTGGAACCCTTCATGCACCAGCATCTTTGTCACATTAGTGAAGAATGGACTGGCCTTGTGGGTCACCCAGGGTGTGAAACACGTTTGGGGCGAAGCTGCCACTTCCTCCCCAGGAGAAAACAGAATGTGGCCCTTGATAGCAGTGTGGGGTTTAGCTGGCAGCTGTTAGCCCAGGAGCTGAAGACCTGTGGCTACATGCACAGTCATGTGTGTGAATCTGGTCCCTCTATTAGCCAGGGTCACTGCTACCTAACTCCAAGGGGCACTATTATCACTGTAGTCTATGGAAATTGTGCAGTACCCAACCTGTGCAGCTGAACATGGTAGTCCTGATCTCAACTCTCACTCATCATGTCTGACAGTTGCAATGGCCTCTCTGCTGACTTTCTGCCTCTAGTCTGTTCCCTCTAGTATTGCCTACACCCCCTGCCCCGTGTCAATTCCCCAGTCCTACCCACCTCCAAGTCCCTTCTCCCCTCAGCCACCTGTCAGAGAGATCTACGAGTACTCTCAGCTGTTCAGGGATCCTGGGAGTAGACTCCTTCCTCTGAGATGGATGAGCCATGTGGTCTTGGGCAAAGCACTTAACCTCTCTGAGTAACCCCACACTGGTATCACTTATTCTCATTTATAAAATGGGGGTAAAATGCCCATCAGGTTGTAGTTTTCTTGATCACTAGATTCTTAACTCCAGGAGGCCAGATACTCTCATTCCTCTCTGTACCCACATCTGACACATCCTCAGTTCCGGTGAGCGTTTTATTATTATTATTATTATTATTTAACATGAATGGTACCATAAAGCATTTGTTGAATAAATGAGCGCATGTCACTTTGACCAAAACCTTTCTGCAGCTTCCACTCCCACGCCTGATGGGTTAACTCAGGACTTCCCAGGCACTGCTGCCCTTTCTACTCCTGGGCTTTTGCCCATGCTGTTCCCTCTCCTAGAATTC